>NC_000001.11:209396708-209548223 GCF_000001405.40 Homo sapiens | reverse complement strand
CCGCGTGCCACCAACTGTCAGTTTAGGAGCCAAATCTTTTCTTGGATGTGTCCTCTCTTAGGAGGGAGAAGGATGGCCGGTTTGGCAGGAGAAGTGAAATCTGATATTGGAATATCTCAAGATTATTTCATGGTCTTGTTGCATATTTTACACTTGATGGAAATTACTGTGCAGGTAATATTTCACTTCCTGCCTATGCCACTGCCGCACCTCTGGCAACAAGATCCTTTAGCTAAAGGGCCCTTAAGAGAGGAACACTGGAAAGTGCACTGCAGCTTTCCCCTCGTGTAGGTAATGTGGAATCCCACTCTTTGGTGCCAAACTGTCAACTGCCTAAGCACAGGATATCCTCTTAATAACTGTGAAATTGAATTTGTTATGAATGAAGGGCTAGGGTTTAATAGCACCACAGGGGAGAAAGTTTGAGGCTACTGCAAGGTCGGTATGTGTAACTGAACCAAGAGACTGCTGAAGACATCAGCCTGTATCTGTTGATGGAGTAGCCACAACAAGGGAGATGAGGCCCACTGGCACCTGGCACTATTCAGGGACATGAGCATTGAGTGTGGGGTGGCATTTTCCAAGAAATGTATATAAGCACAGACATTTCCCAGGGATGCTGACCAGCTTGGCAAGGGGACCTGGAAACCAAATCAGTTAAGGAATGGAGGAAGATATTGAGAGTGCTGAGTCTGGGGCCTAGGTATTTCTTGGGACCAGGAACTGGGTAAGGTAGGCATCATGGAATTGATGACAAGCTGCCATAAGCCAGAGGGCATAAGCAAATTTCATGTTGTCCCATAGGGCAGTACGAGTGTCCAGAGGTGAGTGTTACCATAACCCATGCTTTTAACTACTGTACTTTCTGGACAAAGAGTACAGGTTAGTAGGTTTACAGCCCTCCCCATAGCTGGAGCCATTTCTTCCCGATTTGCAGGCTGTGGCAACTTTTTTTTTTTTTTTTGAGATGGAGTCTTGCTCTGTTGCCTAGGCTGGAGTGCAGTGGCGTGATGTTGGCTCACTGCAACCTCCACCTCCTGGGTTCAAGCTATTCTCTGCCTCAGCCTCCCAAGTAGCTGGGATTACAGGCCCCTGAGGCTGTGGCAATTTTAAGACAGGACCCCAAAGGTCTTTGACTCTCTTCTCACCAAGAGGTGGGGTCTCTGCCCCCTTTCCTTGAATCTGCGCTCTGTGACTACTTCACTATTAGAATATAGGGGAAGTAGCAATGTGCCAGTGTCCAGCCCTGGGCCTTAAGAAACTGGAAGCTGCCACTTCTCTCTTCTGGGATGCTCACTGTTGGAACCCAGCCACTGCACTGTGGGGAGGCAGACAAGTACATGGACAGCCATGTTAGATGTTTCAGCTGACAGCTCCAGCTGAGGCCCCAGCCAGAAGCCAGCATTAACTGCCAAACACATGAGCAAGACTTCTGATGATTCTCTGCATGGAGCAAAACGAGCTGTCCCCACCAAACCCTGCTCACGTTGCATGTTTGTGAACAAAATAAATGCTTGTTGTTTCCAGCCCTATATTTGGGATGGCTTGTTAGACACCCGGAACATAAGCCAAGGCAGGCTCCCAATCCTCAGAACCAGTCCTAACCTGAAGTGTCAGATATTTCTGTCTCTGCAGTAAGCCAGGTTAGCCTGACCTTGATTCATTGCCTGGTGTATAGTAGTGTCTCAGAGTATTTGTTTAGTGGATGAATGAATACAGGTTCCCGTCATGCAAACTGGACTATTGCCTTAGTCCTAAGATGGGATCTTCCTTGAGTTACCCTAGTTAAGTGTTTTTTAAACCTTGATTTTAACAATGGTGTCCATTTTTCAAATACAATCTGAAGGTATTCAAAATATGTAAGTGATCTAAGTGTGGAGTTCCTTTAGGTGAATTGAGGGGAGGGCTTTCAGCCCTATCAGCTCAGCCTCCCACTTACCACCTCACCAGGACCCCAAGGAACTTGGTTTCTGTGGCGCTCAGCTGGAGAACCCAATGCCCTTGTTTATAGAATTCTTACCTTTTGCTTTTGGTCCTGTTCCTGAGTTATCTCTCAACCACTTTTCTCTTCTTTTTTCTCCCAGGGGTAACCACCACAGGCCCACAGGCTAAAATTGAGCTGGAGTAAGTGGCAACAGAGAGTATTTATTGTCCCCTAAGAGCCCTGGTAAGCTTCTGAGAAATTAAGTGCTCATTTCCTAGCAGATAAAAGTGAGTATTTGGCCAGGCACAGTGGCTCATGCCTCTAATCCCAGCACTCTGGGAGGCTGAGGTGAGTGGATCGCTTGAGCCCAGGAGTTGGAGACCAGCCTGGGCGAAACCTTGTCTCTACCAAAAAAAAAAAAAAAAAAAATTAACCAGGTGTGGTGGTGCATGCCTGTAGCCCCAATTACTTAGGAGGCTGAGGTGGGAGAACTGCTTGAACCCAGGAGGTCGAGGCTGCCATGAGCGAAGGTTGCACCACTGTTCTCCAGCCTGGGTGACAGAACAAGACCCTGTCAAAAGAAAGAAAGAAAGAGAGAGAGAAAGAGGGAAAGAGGGAAAGAGGGAAAGAGAGAAAGATGGAAAGAGAGAAAGAAGGAAAGAAAGAAGGGAAGAGAGAGAGAAAGAAAGAAAGAGAAAGAAAGAAAAAGCAAGCAAGCAAGCAAGCCAGTCCCCAGCCCCTGAACCTTAGGGCCCCATGGGGCAATGGTGCTGGCCCTTCCTTTGGGAGGAGATTGAGCTGGCTGTGGTCTGCCTTGCCATGATGGGGGAAGGGCAGGGGGCTGCGAGAAGGGATTCTCCACTTTTGGGTGATGGAGCATTTAGCAAAGCTGATCAGGAGCACTTGCCTTTGGGCTGAAGCAGAGAGGTTCTGAGCTGTCACCTGGGGGCAGGCTGAGCGCTCAACAGACCTGGGTGGGAGGAACCTAGGTGTAAACATGGCCTTGGAAAGGAGAATGTGAGGCCTGAGGGGAGCAACAGTTCACTTTTTCTCCGTGACTGGACCCAGGAGGCTGGGCCCAGGAGTGGACTTGGGGTTGAGACTGGGGTGCAGGGTAGTGGAGGGGTGATAAGAAATGGGGTCAGAAGGTACAAGGACATCAGAGAGGGACCAATGAAATGGGTCTGGGCTGGGAGGGCGGCCAGGGAAAGGACGGCTGGCAAAGAGCAGGGCAGGGTGTCAGAGAAAGGCAGCTGATCCAGAAGCTCACCCAGTTGGAAGTGCCTGAGGGTGGGAATACAGGAAAGAGAATGTGGGAGGAATCTGGGGAAGGGATCATCAAACTTGCTGAAGGCTCTGAGGGAGCCACTCAGTTTCCTCCTGAACTCCAGAGGGATCCTGTGGCCCAGGCCTAAGGGACCATTGCTTCTTTAGAGAGTCAGTGTGACGCAGTAGGAGAAATGCTATCTAGGAGTCAGGGGTTCTGGCCTCTCGTCTGATTTGGCCACTGGCCAGTCATTTTGGTTTTCTGAGTCTTTCACTCCCTTGTCTGTAAAGTGAGAAAGTTGATTGGTATTGATTTCCAGGTCCATTTGGGTTCTAGCAATTGCATGATTCACTTCAACCCAATAAACACAAGTGGGTCAGGTACAGCCTTGGGCCCTGGCGGTGCAGGTGGACCAGTTCCCCATGACTTCATGGAGCTCATGCTGTAGTGAGGAAAGTGGACATTTCTACAGGTAGCAGGGCTACCAAGTGAAAGTGGGAAGAAAAACATGATTTTATTACTAGGCCCGGGTCAAAAGTGAGGGGTAGGTAATAAGGAGGGGGTAGAAAACCTTCAAAATGGGAGCTGAAGGAAGAGCTGGTTGATTTGGAGGTGAGACAGGGAGGTCTGGGAGGGTGTGCTTAAGGGTTCAGAGCAGAGTCAAGTTGAGGTAAGAAAAGACAAGGGAAATGTTTGTTTGTCCTCGGCCCATTGTGGACCTTTGGCCTGCTCTGAACAATTGGCTTCCTGTGCTGGACAAAGGGGTGTAGGCAGGCCGCCCTAGTACCCTTTGTTCTGGACACATTGTAGGGATGTAGCTCAGCAGCAGAAGCTCTCCAATCCATCTCCTTCATTTGAAACATGTACTAATTTTTTAAAGTATTGATTTTCACTTTGGAAAAATTAAAGAATTGAAAACACAAATAATTCATAACGTTAGCAGCCAGTAACACAGTGCCCATCCTTAGTTCTCTCTCTCTCTACACACACACACACACACACACACACACACACACACACACACAGGCATGCAGGCACACACAGAAGATTAGATTAGGCTATTTTTCTCACTTGGCAATATATTTGAACATCTCTTCTTGTCGATAAATATGAATCGATATCATCAATTTTAATGGCTTCATAGTAATTTTATTGTGTGAACATAACATAAATTATTTAACAATTCCTATTGTTTGAACTTTAAATTTCTTTCCCTTTTTAAGTTTGCTATAAGTAATGCTTTGATGGAAATAGTATTATGCATAGATATTTGCACCTTACCTTATTATTTCCTAGAATATAATGATTTTACAGCTTTTGATATATATTACCATATTATTCTCTAGAATTTGTTGTTCTCGCCTATTCCCAAAAGCAGTGAATAGATGTCCATTTCCCACCCCCCATGCTGACACCAGGCATTATAATTCTTTTTAATCTTAGCCATCTGAAAAGTAAAAAGGACATATCATTGTTTTAAGTCATATTTCTTTCCACCGAGGCTGAAAATGGTTTACATTTTTTATTGTCATTTACATTTCTTCTTTCATGATTTGCTTTTACATATCATTCTGCTATTTTACCCCCCATGGTGCATATATTAGTTTCCTAGGGCTGCCATAACAAATTACTACAAACTTGGTGGCTTAAAGCAACAGAAATATATTCTTTCATAGTTCTAGACGCTAGATATCTGAAATCAAGGTGTTGGTAGGGCTACGTTCCCTCTGAAGACTCTTAAGAAAGAATTCTTCCTTGCCTCTTTCTAGCTTCTGGGGTTTGCTGGCATTCTTTGGTATTCCTTGGCTTACAGCTGCATTACTCAATTTCTGTCGCCTTCAGACAACTGTCTTCTCTCCATGCTTATCTGTGTGTCTCTAAATCTTCATCTCCTTATAAGGACACCAATTATTGGATTTAGGGCATACTCTAATGCAGTATTTCATCTTAAATTGACTGCATCTGCAAAGACCCTACTTCCAAATCAGGTTGTGTTCATTGGCCCTAGGGCATTAGGACTTGAACATATATTTTTAGGGGACACAATTCAGTCCCCTACAATGTGCTTGACTTTTTCTTATTAATTTGTAATAGCTTTATGCTTCACCTTTTAGATCCACTGACTCACACCTGCCTCTCTGCTTGTCCAGAGAGGTACAGAGAAGTAATGACTTGGACTTGAGGAAGGTAGGTTCTTTTGGTTAACCACAGTGTGAGTCATGAGTATTGTGGGTCTTAGGAGTTCCTGCATTAACCCTTTATTTCTGGAGAAGATAAGTGGTGGTGGGAGGGAGAGAGGAGGGCATTGTTTCTGGTGCTCTATGAGTGGCTGTTGGCAGATCTACCACTAACAGGTCAGTTTGGTAGGTGGACAATGATTGGGATAGGAGAGAGACTGAGCCAGCAGTGATAGTCTCTGAATCATAAATTGGTAAATGAATGACCCCTGAGGCTGGGTAGGAGTCATCCAGCTCTATCAGGACTTTCTGGGTTTATTTGAGATTGTTTTGCTAATAGTGGTTTCTTAAAAGCATCATGCATTTTCTTTCCTGCTTCTTAAGCACTCAGACATTTCAATGGCAGCTTAGCCCTGAACTTACAGGTTTCTTGCACTTGAATGGATCATGTTCATAGTAAGAAGCAGAATGATTGGAAGCTAAGAAGACTCTCTGCTGTCCTTGACCTCTGCAAGTTGCTTTCTGAGATGGGTAGCAGAATAAAGAAGAATTGGCTCAAATTTCCAGTTTGGTTAAGCTGAAGCAGTAGTCTAGTGGGGAGTTTCATTAGGGGCCCAGATCCAGATCCTTCTCTTCAGCACCGTTGCCTCTGAAGAACAGCTCTGCAGAGTGAAGAGCAATATGGGGTTCCTGAGAGTTCTAGGGTCTCTATAAGTGGGAAAGGCCTTGTTCCAAGGTGACAAGGGGCCAGTGTGTCAGGTAGTCTGCTCTCTAGTGGGCCTGGGGCAAGAACAAGTGTGGGCAGCTCAACCTGTATCTTTCACTTGGGTGGCAAGTGGCATCAGGGCTGGAGGAGAGAGTTGGGATGGAGGATGGTGTCCCATGTCTACCACTGCCAGCTCCTGCTCAGAAAAGAATGTCAGCATCAGATTCAAGTGACTTCCTGAAGCTGAAAGCCTACTATGACAAAAGCGTTGGAATAGAAAACTCCTAAATTTAGGAGAAAATATAGGCCTGGATTTGAACCCCAGTTCTGCAATTTACTAGCTGAGTATCATGAGTTAATTTTCTTAATCTCTTTACATTTCAATTCTGTTTTGTAAAAGTAAGACAGTATTTTGGTAAACTGTTTATAGAATAAAATTAAGTAATGTATGAGGAAAAATGCATCATAGGGTCTTGCAGATAATAGGTACTAAATAAATAGTAGTTTATTTCTTTCTTCTAGTGTCTTTTTATTCTATATAATATGAATTGAGCAATACCACTGAATGTTTTTCTCCCAAATCATTCCTCCATCCAGCTAGTTGAAGTTTTATAATTCCACGTCTCATTTCTTTGTTAAGATATTCTCCCTTAAATATGCTTTTGAAAAGTTACTGCTGTTTTTGGCTGATCAGAAATCAATATATCTCTGACCTACTAGGCCCTTGTAGGACATGTGAATGCCAGTGCTCATGGAGAAAGGTGGAGGAAGAGAGCCAGAGTGCAGTTCACCTCTGGGAGAGCAGACCAGAGTGGCTTCCGTGGGCACATGCTGGATTGAAGGTGAGAGACACAGGAAGTGTGGCACACGGGAGAGCCTGGGCCACACTTCATTCTCCCTCAGCAAATGTCAGTCACAGGCTGTCTAATCTCCCTTCTATGAAAGTGGAGATGTGGGCATCCTGAGGACTTGGGTAGAGTGTGAAGGTAAGGCCATTACCCACCTACAGGTGAGGAATATGGGACTGAGAAAGTCATCTAGGTGAGCAGTTGCATTCCAAATCCAGGCAGGCTATGGAAACAAGGCTTCAGTTTGGAGAGGCTAGTCAGAAAGGGAGAATCTAAGTGAGGGACAGCATTCAGGAAAGCCGGAGGTTCAAAGCCAGGATAAGCCATGGGGCCTGGGCTCTGCCCTGAGATGGTGGCTGCAGAGATGTTTTCTAGAGTGCCTGCAGCCCTGGGCAGGAGCAAGGATGGTTGGATGGAGTGTAATAGGGTTTTTTTCCCTGCAATCCAAAACCTGCCAGGAGTCCCCCACTCCCTGATTGGTTCTAACCACTCTTCTTGTCTCTTACCTAATAGTGAGAAGACGTGACTACTAAAGTTGAGGCCCCAAGTCTCAGCTTCTTCCCCCTCCAAAGCATGAGTGGAGGATTCACTTAAGGCCACTTTGGTAAGTCTAGATCAACTCTTCTCAAAACTACTTCATTCCTTTGGAATAAAATCTTGAGTTTAGACTTTCCCAATACTCCTCATGGTATTGCAGTGGCCAGGAACCGTATTCTGTACTTAGGACAGCTGAGACACTCTGGCATCAAGACCTAGCTCCCAGGAGCATTGGCCCCTCAAAAATCAGTCTTTTGAAGGATAAGGCATTTTCATCACCAGGGGGAATGAAAGACCACAAGGACTCCCTTGATCTTCCTCCCAGGGGGTTCATAATTCCATAGGCTAAGACTCTGAATTATGTGTTTTGGGGGAACATTGTGCTCTGTGTGATTGAATGTGTGATTCATTTGACACTGAGAATAAAACCAGGTTGAATAATAAGAAAATATAAGCCTCAGAAGATTTGAAGTAAAGCCTTGAAATCATTGTCGAATCATAAATTAACACCCATAACAAGAGTAAAAATTTACCCTGAATTTAGGACACTCTGTTTTTATTTTTTTCAACTGAGTTTAAATGCTTTCCATAAATCCCAGATATTTGGGGGCTGTAAAGATGATTAAACACCTAAAATGTAGTTCCCTTGGACATAAGAAGAAAAATATTAAGCACTTTCTTAAACAAAGTCCGTAAGTGAGGACTGAGTTATGGTTTCTTTGAATAGTGAGGCTATGCCTTCCCTACTGAGGTCAAAAGGAAATGAAGAGAAAGGAAATCAACTGGAAAATGACTCTCAAGCTTGAATCATTATTTTCTTCTTCCATCAGGCACCTGCTATTGGTTTTTATAAGTAATAGTAAAGTGATTAAAAACATACTGAAACCTTGACACAGAATCTGGGGGAGGGGGCCTGAGCAAAAGAGTCCTTGCTCCTTCATAATCCTGCCTCCTTGGTATCCCTGTCCCTCATTTTCATCCATCTTTTGAGCATGACTCATGCCCTAATGCTGCCCTGATGCTAAAGCATTTATATGGTGATTTGTCTTTCAAGAGAGTTTGTGCCTAGCCTTGCAAACAAACTACCAGCCCATCTCACAAACACTGAACTATGCCATCCCCAGTGCCCAGAAAAAATGTACTGATGTTTCTCCCACTTGCTATAAATGAGTGCTTGCCTCTTGATATCTTTAGTCATAGTCAAGTGGTCAAGTCAATTAACACTGAGCACCACTTCTCAGATCCTACCATTTGATGTGTGAGGTAGGGGAGTGGCAGGCTAGCCAGTGCACCCCCAGAGACTGGGGACATAGGCTGCTTATTCATAGGCTCTGCTATCTCCATTTTTTAAAGATAATAACTTACCCAAGGTACCAGGTTAGTAAATGGCAGATTTGAGCCCAGGTCTCTTTAAGAGAAGAGGAACGTAAGAAGTTACAGAGAGGATAATGGGGACATCTAGATGAATTCTGAAGAAGGCTCACCATCTCCCGGGTTTCTTGACACCCTTCTGGTGTGCACTTGCTTAAGTGAGCTGTATTTATTTGATGTATCCGAATGGATGGCCACCATATATATACTTAGCATGATTCTGGGCACTGTGGCATTAGAAAGGGCCAGCCAGACTTCACTTCTACAGCCTCTGCCACTGCAAACTTGAGTGAAAGCGGAGCAAAGTTGGAGTCTTGAAATATTGGGAACCAGAGAACCTGCCACAGAGCTCAGCACAGGAGAGAGAGGGAGTCAATTCTCAAGCCTGGAGAAATCCCCTGGGGTGATGAGGTGGAGCAGGAGGACCAGAGAAGCTGCTGAGGATTTGAGCAGAGTCAGCCTCCGAGACAGTTCTTTTGTGTCTGTCTCGAAGGCTCCACTCTGTAATTTTGATGATTTTCCTGTCCATGAGCTCAGTCTCTCTAATGCTGGTTACCTAATGAAAATCCCATTCTGGTGCCTTGGGACCCCTACTCTGCCTCTTCCTGGATCCACAAAACTGGTGGATTATGCCCTAGTCCATTACTTTGCATCTAGCTGATAGTGGACATTCCTTGGATTGTGACTGCTTGTTGGTATTTACCAACAGCTACCTGGATTCTTTGTGCTCTGTCCTTTGCACTTCCTTTCTCCTACCAGTGGGTCTTCCTCCAGCAACTGTGACCTGAGTCATGTTGGAGGTGATGACAGCCTTTAATACTGTACCTCAGCTTCACCCTGGAGGGAGATGCCTGAAGACTCTGCCTCCACAGGCAGGTCAATGTCCTCAGCCCCCTCTCCCACTCCAATGTGACATCCTTGAGCAGATCCTTGATCTGTTTCTCTTTTCACCTCCATGATTCTTCAAGGAAAGTCTAAAATCAAGATTTAGTTCTAAGAGAGTCTGCAATATTGCTAGATAAGCAAGAAGTACAAGCAAAAAATAAAAATAAAAAACAGCATTCCAAAGTAGGACACAGTCCAGTGCTAAGCTGTGTAATATGGCATGTGGTAGAAAATCTGAGAAGGGAAAGTAGCACAGGGCACTGGAATCAGGAACGGCTTCATGGAGGAGGTGAAACATGGGTTGGGCTTTGAGGATGGAGAGGTCAGTCTTCCATTTCCCCACTCTGGTTATAAGTGCTGTGTGCTCCCTCGGGAGAAGGGGGGTCCTTATGTATGTGGGCATCAAGGTCCCCAGTTTTTGGAGGATATGTGAGTGCCAGCAAAGGGGACCAGGAGGATAAGAAGGTCACACTCCCCTCTAGATGGTCATCAAGAGCTATTAGTTATGAAAGCTATTATTGACCAACAGATATTAAATCTTGGCTGCTTGTCCATATGGGTAATGATCATAATAGAATCTACTCTCCTGCCAAATGGATACAGATAAAATCTTGGAGAATAAAAAAAGACTTAGCTTTCTTGAGAGGGAACTCTCATTGAAATGGCATCTATGAAGAGCAAATGCCCTATTCTTAAGTAAGGCTGCAGGGAAGCTAAGGGTATGAGTGGAACACAGGATGGGGAGGTGGGAAATTAAGGCAGGAAGGGGACTGGAGTCAAGTCTGGTACTGAAGCAGTAATACAGGGCTTTTGAACCAGAGGTTTGTATAACAGATACATGTGGAACTTTGGTGAATTGCATACGTCAGCTCCATTTTTATCCCAAGATTCTAATACAGGAGGTCTGGGTGAAGTGGAACCTCCAGCTGGAACATAAGAGGATGTGGTTGTACTTACTCACATCCCCTGCCCACCTGAACCCTGGGAAGTGCTGACTGAATGAATGACAACCACATTGACAATGAACAGGACTTGGAAACCTGGTGGGGCAGTGATTCTCAAAGTGTGGTCTGTAAACCACCTGCATCTCAATCACCTTGGACCTAAGGAATGGAATCTCCAAGAGAAGGAAACTAGGAATCTGCCTTTTCAACAAACACAACAGGACAGCAGATACTTAGACACTTACATACTAAGGTTTGAGAACCACAAGAGAAACAGTAAGTACAGAAGCCCACCAAGCTCATACAAGCAGTAAGTGTTAGAGCTGGGATTAAAACCCAGGTCTGACTGACTTTCCAGGATGTAAAGGAAATCCATCCTTTTGCTATTATGTCAAGCTGCCTCTAAGAGCAGGTAACAGGAGGAATTTCAGGCTGGCTGTTGCTCAGGCAGGGGCGACTACAGGAAGATCAAATCTGGAGGTAGACAAAGAGGACCTCACCACAAAAACTGCTGGGCTGAGGCAAGACCCACACTTCAGAGGGATTGAATGGGGATGTTAATTAATACCTTTGTTCTTAAGAATCAGCAGGGTTCCAGGAAGAAGGGCAAGACCCCGGAGCTGGGTCAGAGGTACAAGGTAGGAACCTAGTTCCTAGTTCCTAGAAATAAGAAATGTCTTAGGAATCAATGTGGATCCTCAGAGTGGATTCAGAAGCCAGAGATTCCTTAAGTTCTCTCTGGCTAGGGTCAGGACTGATCCCCAAATCTGGTAAGTACTCTTAGTGAGGTAGACATTCAGTCCTGGGTAGGAAGCTGTGCTATCCTATAGTTGTAAATACTGGTTGCCCATTATCAATTTGAAGGGTACTGAGAAGGCCTGTGATTATACTCATAGGGCAAAAGCTCCCACCCAGAGTTCTAGTCTTTCTGTTGCCTTTAACATAGTGATCTTAGAGAGATTCTCTTCTTCACATGCTGACCCTAGGGCTGAAACTCAGCCTCTAACTCCTGGTCTTATTCCTGGGACAAATATTTATTTATTTCTCTTGGCTCTTCTGCATCTGATCTCCTTCTGATATTTGGAGAATTCTTGACCCTGCAAGTCTCACTGAAATGTGGATCTGGACTCTGTTAACAAATATCAGAAACTCAATTTTCCAGTCTTCTGAAGCTAGGGTGGGGAAAATGATGTGGACTTAACAAGTTAGATAATCAGAGAGAGCAATCTGAACTTTATTTGGGAGTGAGTGTCCAAGGGCAGCAGAGGTAGGCTCAGCATCACAGCTGGTGGAGTTCTCATGGTGGTCATCACATTCTGGAGTCCAGCAGTGGCTGCGGAGGAGTCCTTGCTGTCGTTTCCGTGGAATGAACTTTGCTCTGTGTCTGGCTGCATAGCCCCTCTGCCTCCTGGCAATTCTGTAAATGACCCAACATCCTTCTAGTTAATTACTTTGCTACTAAACAAGTCAGAAATGTATTAAGTTTCCCTTAGGAAAACATAAGCCCCTCTAGGTTTTTCAATGGAGAGAATTGGATATCAGGAATTGGATTGGTGGATGATGGGGAAGCTGAAAAGCCAAACAATGGTGAAGAAACCTAAAGATGAACAGTTGCAGAATGTTGTTAATTACAAAGGACTGGAGTCATAGTGGGAGGAGGAGGCTGAAGCTAACCAATGTGAGCTTCAATCATGCCTTGTCTAGTGGAGATGAAGCTTACCTGATGCAATGTAGTCAGAGGCATGGCCTGAGGCAAAGCAAGGAAGAAATAACTACCCTGACCTCCCTCCCCGTCTTTCCCCAGGCTGCCACCAGTGCACCATTGGCAGAAACATTGGCAGAGTCCAGCTGGCAAGAGGGCCTCGTCATCCCTGCAAGACATAGCAGAGCAAGGGAAAGGTGGGGAACCGATGGCAAATGACAAGCCCACAGTTAGTCTCTGCAGCTTTCAAATAAGAATATTGCTGGTCAGATGCTAAAAGAGGACATCACCACAAGAATATATTAGAGACAAAAAATTTACAGGCTGGGTATTTCTCAGGTCAAGTAATATTCTGTCTAGCAAGAGAACTATGGGTACATAGCGCAATCATAGATTTTACTTAGTTCTGCTTAAAACTCGTGTCTGTTTTGGTTTGTTTATTTCACTGTATTTCATACCCTTGGGCTGTCTGGCCTTCTCTTTTAACCTAGAACCCTGAGGAGGGGAGGCAGGTCAGTAATAACCACCTCCCTCTGCAAACTTCCACATCTCCAGTCCTTTCCAGAATTCTTTTACCACCTTGACCTGAGGTTTTTATTCTGCCCACGGGTTAGGGTGCCATAGTTGATTGTGAGAATGATCTAAGGGAGTCTTAAGTCATCAGGTCATCAGGGAGGTGCTAGACACCTGGCAGAGGAGAGATCCAGAGTTAGAAGAGGCCCCAAACACCTGCAGCCCTGTGGGGGCGATGGGAAAGCCTGCCTTCAGGTGAAAGAATCCATTCCTTTATAGTTTGTGACCCTGAGCACTCAGCCCCTACACTTCCTTTTTCTTGCTTTGCTCTTGCTTTGAATTAAAATTAGGAACTGAGCTTTTTTTCATCTTGATACCTTCAGTACTTAACATAGACCACTGTAACCGTGGTGACAAAAAAAAAAAAAACTATGAATGAGTAAATAAGAGAAACAACGAATGAATAACAGCTGCTATGACAATTAAGGCATATGCTCCATTGTGTGGCCATGTGAGATAAATGTCTCCTAACTCACTGCTCTTTCTGTGGCTGTCCCTGGAGATGGGCTTGCGCACCTCACTGCCTTTCCTGCTGTGGGAGGTGAGAGGACTGGGGAGCCCAGAAGCCCAGAAGATGCTCCTGCCAGTAGAGGGCTCTTCCTCTCACTGCTCCGAAGGGATGGCACAGCGGCTGAGCACGATGCTATGGTGGTGTCTGCCCACCTCTGTCCTTTCACCCACATCTCCCCCGTCACACTACTGGCCAGGTCAGGCTGGCATGGGAAATTTCCCTTAGGAGACCTGCAAGCTTGTGGCTTTCTCTTTTTAAATGGTGGTTTCTATGATAGGGAAGGAGTGGGGACTATTATCCTAAAGCCAAACTCACTAAATTTTCAATATGGCAAAAGAAAATAAAGCAAGGGGAGACTTAGCACATCTTAGCTTATAAATTCTGGCTGTCCTATGTGACTTTCTGTTCTGAGTGAATGCGTGATTTTTCCAATGACAAAGAGGGTTCTAGAGCCCCGTAACTTGGAAATGGCTTGGTCTTGGTCTATATTGATGGATATCTTTCTACCTCCACCTATTTCTCCATGAAAACCTCCCCCTTACACACACACACACACACACACACACACACTGCACACTGGTGTTCTGCCAGCCCCAAGGCCTCCTTCCTACTGCTAATTTATGATTCCTCCTTCCTGGTGTCAGTTTTGGCTGATACTAAAGTGGCTAGCACCTCTTTGGAGATCTTTGGAAAACTCCAGTGAGTTGGAAAAGACCAGGACATGGAATCTGTAGAATAACGCTGGATGACATCTGGTTGGATGAAAAATGGGGACAGTCTGACCCTAAGCAGCTTGCCAGAAGCTAGGAACAGCTGCTTCTCAAGGGGGAAGTGTCATCATCGCATCTCCTGAGTGGCCCATTTTCTGCTCTATAGGAGGTAAATAAACATAACACCACCTGAAAATTGGCCTTTTGAAAAAAAGACTTTTTTTTGAAAAACCATCACGGAGGTTCTAACGTTGAAAACTGGAAGCCCCTGGAGCCAGAGTCATGGGAGGAAGTAGGAATGTGAGGGCCAACGGACTAACTGGTCTCTCTTACTGGGGCCATCTATTAACCCCAAAGAGGATGTCTACTTCAGTTTCTACAGTAACAGCTTTAGGGCTGCCCAGTGGGCATCTAGTGGGAGAGAAGGTGCATATTTGGGGGAAATTCTTTAAACACCAAGTTGTTGTGTGTCTCCCACATGGTGTGTGCAGGGGTCTGTGTATCTGTGCTTCACTAGCATCCTTCTCTTTCTCTTCCTTTCTCATCTTTTCACTCTGTCTTTCCACTTCTGTCTCCTCTGGTCTCTGTCTCACTCTCTACTTTGTCTGTCTTCTGTCTCATAGTCTCCCTCTTCACCTAGTTTTCTTTCTCAGGTTTTCATTCTTCCTCCTCAGCTTGGCTCTCATTTTCTTATTGTGCTGGGTTGAATAGTGTTCCCCCAAAATTTGTGTCCTACCTGGAGCCTCAGAATGTGGTTCTATTTGGAAATTGGGTCATTGCAAATGACCTATTTAATTGGTTATTTAATTATTCAATTGGTTATTTAATTAATGGCCATCTCAGTTAAGATGAGGTCATTCTGGTACAGGTGCACCATGAATCCAATATGATGGTATCCTCATAAGGAGAGGAGAAGAGACACAAAAACAGACACACCCTGGCAGATCACTGTGTGACTACGGAAACAAGAGACTGAAGCAATGTGTCTACAAGCCAAGGAACACCATGAATTGCTGGCAATAACCCAAAACTACAAAGAGTCAAGGAAGGAATCTTCCCTAGCACCTTCAGAGAGAACATGACCCTGCTGACATCTTGATTTTGGATCTCTAGCTCCCAGAACAGTGAGATAATATGTTCTTTTAAGCCACCAATTTGTGGTACCCTAGGAAACAAATGAATTTATCACTAAGTTCATGCATACTTCTTCTCCCTATGCATAGCACGCCCCCCACACACCCCACCCCCCCCACTGCCTTTTTTCAGATTCAAACCATTGATCTCACCCATTGCATTTCTGGCATCAGGTGTCAGCTGGCTCATTTTCTTTGAGGCAAAGTTCATATCCACTGGATTCACACCTCAGTTGCCACATGGGCTGCTTCTCTGCTCAGAAATGCCAGGAGTTTTTAAATAGTTCATAAAAGGGACCCCCTTTTGACCTGACCCTCCCAGGTAAGTATGCTGTCTTTGAGGACCACAGAAAGGTTCAAGAATCTGGGTTTTCAGTCTCCACATAGCTCTGGGCAAGTCTCTTAACCTCCCTGAATTCTTTCAATGGCTTCATCAATTAAAAAAAAGGCAACTGCTTTAGTCTTTCCTGCCTCTGGAGAATGTTGTTAGTGTGAAAAGACCTTCAAAAGTACAACAAAGAATGCTGTGCACATTTATAGTCCTTTATTATTCAGACTTAGGAGGCTGGGATGAAATAAATATTTATGGAACCCAGAAGGTGACATGGAATTTTATGGATATTATGACGTTGGATCCTTAAAGCAACCTACCAAATAAGTGATTCCCATTTTAAGTGAGGAGAAAATTGACTTGAAGCAAAGAAACATCACTTTCATAAGAAACAGTGAAGATTCTAATTAAACCCAGATTTCCTGACGTCCAATTTAGAGATTACTACATTACACTGTGACCCTCTCATTTGTTGATTTATTATTTTTTATGGCACACTTCCTTCCCATCTTGAAATATTTCTCTGACCCTTCAGAAGAAGCCACAGACTCAATAGAGTCTGGTCCCCTGTGTAAGGAGAGGTTTAATTTTCAAGTACAAATATTAACAACAGGCCCATAGAGGAAACATTTTGGAGGAACAATCGATGTTGGCAGACAGGAGCCTATCAGGAGGTAAAGGATTTGTAAAAGTGAAGTTTAAGGCAAACCTTTGAAGGGGAGATGAGAAATGCTGCCTTCAGAAAGGAGGAAGGGTCAAATTCAAGGTCCACAGTGGGCTAGAGAGTGTGTGAATCTCCGCCTGAGCTCTGCAGCGGGGAGAGTTTGAAGATGTAGAATTCTGTCTGCATAGCATGCATTATGTCTTTATGTGATATGTATGCGTCAGAGAAGAGAATTTCTTTTCTGTCACAGGCATCGTCTAAAAATGCACACACTTGAGAAATCACCACTCTCTCTCCTTTCTCATTTCTCCACTTTCTGCACATCTTCCTACTTGCTGAGCCTTTCCTCTCATTCCAGAGGGACAGAAGCACCAGCACCTTCTTTAGGAGCTGTTTATCTGGCATCCGCCTCTCTGCTGAGAGAGCAGACCCCTCTTCTTCCCTTCTTTAAGCCCCAATTGTATCTTCCATCCTCCCACTCTGAGTGTGATTAGAGTGAAGAAAATCTCATAAAAAGGAAACTCAAATGTCAGGTAATTACAGCCCATAATTTGTTTATCTTTCAGAAGCCCATATTGGAGGAGCATTACTCACTCTGAGGATCCTGGCATAGGCAGATGCATCACTTGTATTGAAGTATATTATCTGCTGTGATATTTATGATGAAATGAGTTTGCCAGCCATCGTCTATCAGGTCACAAACTCTTACTCAGCCTTGAAAAATGGCTTTTAATACACTCTTGTTGCAAGATTGGGGTGGATGTACAATTTGTGACTTTCCTACCTCTGCTGTTCCCGGGAACAGGGTGTACAGGGCTGTGTACAGGGTGAACGGGGCGGGGAGCTGTGTTCCTTTGCCTTATTCACAACCTCCACCCTTGGTGCAGTGAGAACATGAGTTCCTTAAGGACAGTCCATGTCTTACTCATTTTGTGTCCTCTTTGTACAGGGTCTGGCACATGTTTGATGTCAACAAATGTATGTTGAAACAAAATGAATTGATTCACATGTGAGGAGATTTAGCTTCTGAGACCAAGACCCCATAAATTCCTGGAGGAAAAGTAAAAGACATACTTAACATCACCTGAGATCACTTATTAGCTCACTTATTCAATCATGCATTTGCACATTCGTACAACAAATGCTTATCAAAAACTATTGTGTGGAAGGCACAGTGCTAATTGCTAAGTGGGCTAAAAAGATAAAGTAAAATATGGCTTCTGGTCAGGTGTGATGGCTTACACCTGTAATCCCAGCACTTTTGGGAGGCTGAGGTGGGAGGATCGCTTGAGCTCATGGGTTTGACACCAGCCTGGGCAACATGGCAAGACCTTGTCTCTACTAAATTTTTTTTAAATGAAAAATTAACCAGCTGTGGTGGTGCACCTATAGTCGCAGCTACTTGGGAGGCTGAGTTGGGAGGATCCCTTGAATCCAGGAGGTCAAGGCTGTAGTGAGCTATGATCATGCCACTGCACTCCATCCTGGATAACAGAACAAGACCCTGTCTCAAACAAAAAACAAAACAAAAAAACATAACTTGTACCTTAAAGGAGCATATGATCTAGTACTAAGGGTAAGAGAGAAATGAATGGTACAGGGAAGAAAATGAGGCCATAAAAATGCTTTGAATGCTCTGAGGATGAACAGATTTCTTCTAGCTGGAGACATGGGCAGGAGTGGATATTTGAATAGAATTACAATGGATGGTATATTAATTGTTTTTTTGCAAATAAATTAAAGTGAGTCTAGCTTTTGTAACAAAAGGTGTTCACAGGCAGCAGACTCTACTATCTCACAGAACCCATGAAAAAACTCAACAAGTAAGTCTCAGGTAGGGGTGAGAAGCAAAGATCTTCAGGGACCCTGTGGTGGAATCTGTGGCCCTTCCCCAGAGAGTTCCCCTGTCAATGTAATTCAGTGCCAAACATTCTTTGTTTCTCTGATGAAACATTCAGTTTCCAGGTGATCTAATGTGATTAATCAAGCAGAGTGTCAGGACTCCAGTCTGTAAACTCATTAGCTATGGCCAGGGGAACTGTCCCCAGAAACATGGCTGCTAAGACCCCTCTTTGTGCAGTGGAAGCAGTTCCCAAGAACAAGGGCTGAGCAGCCTCTCTGGCTGGGGGCACCTACATGTGGGTAAGATTTGGAGGTGTGTGGACATGATCACGAAGGACATTGCAGATGTGGGGAAGCGCAGGGCTGAAAGCCTCCCACCAGGACTCTCTGCCTGGCTCCATCTGTTCTCCCCAGGCTCAGGCATGGTCATTTGTTCCCCCAGCTCTCTTCTTGATGGGCTCAGGTATGAGTTTGTGTGTGTGTTTGCACCTGGGAGCGTGTGTGTTTGCACCTGGGAGCATGTATGTGAATGCAAGTGTGAGCACTTGTGTTTGGTTACTTTTGAGTGTATGTGCAAGTCTGAGCACGTGTATGAGTACATCTGAGTATGTGCGTGTGCCAGTGTGTGTGTGTGTATGTCCAGTGTGAGTGTAATATGTGCAGTGTGAGTGTGTGTGTGTGATTATGTCCTGTGTGTGTGTGAGAGTGTGATTATGTCCTCTGTGTGTGTGTGTGTGAGTGTGATTATGTCCTCTGTGTGTATGTGTGAGTGTGATTATGTCCTCTGTGTGTGTGTATTTGTGTGTTGAGTGTGATTATGTGTGTGCTGTTCTGGGTTCTACTTTGGGCTGGGTAGCAGGGTGGGGAGAGGATGATAAAACAGCACAAACTTTCTCACTGCCAGAATGGGTTTCTTCTTAGCATAGCTTTTATGGACTACTATGTAAAAAGAGTTTCTGGTTCTTCACCTGAGAAAATTACTAAAATTACTAAATGCTCTCTGGTGTTAATCTGCCTTCCATAGGTACTGGCCCAGACAATGGAGTAGAGCAGGGAATAGAAATATCCATTCTGCAACACAACAGTTTCTTCATGTCCAAGCCTAGTAATTTCTTTCCTGAAGGAGGAGTTCATTTCATCCTCTTGAACCTTGTCTGTTTGTTCCTTGCTATGCTACTCCCCAGGATGAACACAGCCACCGCCCCCTCTCTTCTAAACCACCTCTTTTCCACACAGAATGATTCTGGTTCTGTCCATTTGTTGTGGGCTCCTTTCTCAGCTCCTAAATGCACGGGCTGCTTGCTGGCAGGCTTTTTCTGTTCCTCTGCTTCATCTTGCTCACTCCTGTATGTGCCCACCAAAATCCCAAGGAATCAACAACAGCTTTAAAAAGTGGGCTTTGTTTCCTTCTCTCTGCAGGGGATCAAACATAGGCACCTGCCTGTCCAAGGGGGTCTAAGTCACAGTACAGAAGTGGTTTGCAAAGGCTGGTGGGATGGTGTGGCAGGCCTGTGGAGTTGAATAAAAATCCTGATGTCCTTCCTGGCATGAAGAATGGAGCTGCCAAGCTGCCCCCAGGAGAAGCGTGCTGCCTATGCATCTCACTGGACTTCTGTGTACAGAAGAAATATTGGTGGTTTGACCAAACGCTCGGGCTCCCCACGACTCCCGTTGTTATATGGGAAAGAACAAGGTCTGGCCCACCTCTCTAAACCTTTATAAAGGAGCCAGCTGGTGCCTGCCACTTTGTTGCCCACTGGAGAAGACTGGCTGCATGCATGTCATGCACCATATCCCAGCAGCAAAGGCCCTGATTTTTTTTTTTTATCAGCTGTAGTTCATTTGTAAATTATTAACCTCTCAAGAGCCAATATTTGCTCAGGGCCTTCCAGTCCATCTCAAGTGTCGATACTGTGCTTGGGAGATTGCGGGGGAGGATGGTGCAGGGAGCTCGGTCTGACACGCTGTTGTTGGGGAGGAAAATGCTCTTTGTCTAGCAAGAGAGGAGGATCTGACTCAGCAGCAGTAGAACCTCAGGCCAGCCCTTTTCCCACCTGGGGCTGAGGAGACTCAGCCATGTGAGAGTCCACATAGAAGCAGGGGTCCTCAGTGCTCTCTAACCACATTGAGAGTCTACTCTGCCCCAAACCACTCCACTATGCCAGGCTGAGGCTTTTTAGGCCAATATATATCTAAGGATAAAATGAAGGGAGTTCTGGATGATGCATTAAGAACACTCCTGAGACATTAGAGCCTTGCTTTGGATTTGAAGAGGGGAACTTTACTTGTCACCCTGGGTGAAGTCAATTCCTCTGTGAATCTCCCCAGTGAGACTGTGGGTACCTTAGGAGAAGAGACAGTGACTTATTCATCTCAGAATCCTCAGACTAGAATAAGGCCTGGGATTTATCAGGCATTCAGTAAATTCTTGCTGAATGAGCAATTAACTTGAGGTCTTCAGGGTTCCTGGGACCAAAGAGTTGGCCTTTATAAAAGCACATTCGTAATTCAATCTGTACAAGTAGTACAATTCAGTATGGTATGTTACAAGTCAGTTATTGAATATTACACATTGCCACAATGATCTGTCAGTAATAAAGACACAGTCCAGAAAATATTCTCTCTCGTAGGTCACAACAGTTGACCAGTTGACTCCAATGATCTCATTAAATAGCTTGAGGTTGAAAATAACCTAGTGTTTCTCTTACCCAATACACTATTTGCTGATTGAACAACATAAAGTTTCCAAAAGTGGAAAGGGCATTATGAGGAAAGGTATTAAAATAAAGCTATCATCTTAACTTTTAATAAAACTGTGTACAATACTGAAGATACTTTATAGCAAGATGAAAAAATTAGAGTCCTTGGTGTTGTGCAGATGAATTCTAGTCCCAGCATTATTCCATAATATGTACCTTGGGCAAATTAACAACTCTGAGACTCAGTTTTCTCATCTTTAAAATGGGGATACTCTATCTACCTCTTAAAGTTATTGTGAGGACTGAATGAGTTAATACTTGGAGAGGACTCAGAGCAGGGCATAGTTAAGGACTCAGTAAGAGCTAACTTTACTAACATCGCTACCATCACAAATAATAAGTAAGAAAACGTACCTTGAGGATCTTGCATAGTACCTGGCATAAAATAGGCTCTTAAGAGATGAAAGCCAATTAGTACTAGTAATTAGAGTTTAAAATGATAAGATTTTAAGGCATGTAGAAAACAAGAATATCTTGTGTTTCTGGCAACCAAAGTTATTCTATTCCAGGCCATGGGGATCTCCTATTTCTCCAGAAATATGGAGGCTACAAGAGAGAACTAACATTTATTGGGCACTTACATTGTACTAGTTACTGTGCTAGGGGCTTTAAAAACAGTTTTTCCATTTAAGCAAATAATCCTAATATTTTAGATAATTTACCTGAAACCCACCGAGATGACGTATTTCTCCAATGGTTACATTAGCTAATACTGGTAGGACTAAGATTTCAACCCAGATATGTTTGGACTCTATAGCCTGTATGCTTTCCACTTTTCAGAAACTTATAAACAAAACAGAGCAAAAACTTTCTGGAACTCTCTGGAGCCCTTGGCTGTTCTCTGGACCTTCCTTTGCTGTGTCTTGGGGCAGGCACATCTTGGCTTAGGCTGAGCTTTTCTATTTGCCAAAAGAGTCATCTCAGAGGGCACAGCCTGGAGTGCAGCTCAACAAACATATGTGTAACAGCCGAGTGCCACCACGTTAAGAACTGGACTTACAAGATGGATAGGACCTGGTGGCAGCTGTCCTTGAGGAAGCCAGAGCCTGGAGAGACAGATCTCATGTAATTACTTAATCCCCATGAAATGGTGGGAGGTAAAGGGCAGGAATGTGCACAGGGGGCTGCAGGAGCACAGAGGAGGACACTAGGGGAGTCTGGACTTTGAAGGAAGATTTCCTGGAAGAGAAGATGCCAGAACTGAGTGTTGAAAGTTTAGTAAGAGCCAGCTGAAGAAAAGTGAGAGGAGGGTTCAGGAGAGGGGAGAGCAGGAGCAAAGACACAGAGATGAGAGATAGCATATAGTGTCATGGAACTCCAGGCCATTCAGATTTATCAAAGTGGAAAGTGCAATGCAGAAGTGAGTAGACAGAGATCAAGCAGAAGGGGCAGGCAAGGCCAGGGCTCAGAAGTCCTTATATGCATGTCTGGGAGTTTGAACCTTATCCTGAACATGCTGGCAGAGGAGTGATAGGTAGGAAGCTTGGAGTTGAGGTGAGCAAGGCTGGAGGTAAGGGGTTATGGGTGGCTATTGTCCAGGGGAAAAGATGATGAAGGCAGTGATAATGGAAATAGGGCAGAATGCAGAGATGCAGGAAATGTTAGGAGGCTAAGCCTTCAGGATTTGCTGGTTAATTGGGTGTGGGAGAGAGGGAAAGAGAGGTTCAAGAATGATTTCCAAGAATTTTGCCTTAGACAACTAGGATTGATGGTGCAATTAACAGAATGTTAAGAGGAGAAGAAAGCTTACGAGAAATGTAAAGCATCAATTGTTGTACTTATTGAATCTGGGGTGCTTGTAGGACACCTGAGTGAGATTGGAAGTGCAGGGGGCAGTGTACCCTGAGGCTAAAACTAACAGCCACATCCAAGCTCAGAAATTAGCAATGACTATGAATGTCTCTTCTTAACACTACCTGCCTCACTTTCTTACTCTCTATTTACAGGTTATAGCAGAGTACCAATATTCTGCAGAAAACCAAAACCTCACCTGCATTCCTACTCCTATCATGATGTTCTGCCCCCCGGGACCCTTGTTTATGCTGGTCTCTCCTTTTGAAAGAACGTTACCCTTTTCTTCACCCAGCAAATTCTTACTCAGACTTCAAGACTCAGTTCAGAGTCTGGGGATGAATATTCTACAAATGGCCCCCAGGATTGTCATGGTCCTCACGGCAGGTACACAAGCTAGTTTTCTTATTGATACATAATAGATGTACATATTTTGGGGGTACATGTGATAATTTGATACATTCATATAATCAATTCTGAGCAATTGGGTTATCCATCACCTTAAATATTTATCTTTCCTTTTTGCTAGGAACATTCAAATTTTGAAACATTCTAGCTGTTTTTTTTTCTTTTTGAGACAGAGTCTCTGTCACCCAGGCTGGACTCCCCTCTACCCAGGTGCAAGCAATCCTCCTGCCTCAGCCCTCCAAGTAGCTGCAACTAGAGGCGTGCACCACCATGTGGACTAATTTTTGTATTTGTTAAAGAGACGGGTTTTTGCCATGTTGCCCAGGCTGATCTCAAACTCCTGGGCTCAAGCAATCTGCCTGCCTTGGTTTTCAAAAATGTTGGAATTACAGGCATAAGCCACCGCACCCGGCGCACATTCTAGCTATTTTGAAATGTACAATAGATTAATATTAATGATAGTCACCCTGCTGATCCATTGAACACCATATCTTATTTCTTCTATATAATTATATATTTGTATTCATTAATCAGCTTCTCTTCATTCCCCCTTCCCTCCACTCTCCCAGCCTCCAGCAACTACCAGTCTGCTCTTTATCTTTATGGCATCTACTTTTTAAGCTCCCACATATAAGTGAGAAGATGCAATATTTGTCTCTGTGCTTGGCTTATTTCACTTAACCTAATGACCTCCAGTTCCATGCACATTGCTACAAATGACAGGATTTCATTATTTTTTATGGCTGAGTAATATTCTATTGTGTACATATACATTTTCTTTCTCTATTCATCTGTTGGACACTTAGGTTGATTCCATATTTAGGCTATTGTGAATAGTGCTGCAATACACGTTAAGTGTGCAGATATCTCTTTGATATGTTGATTTCCTTTCTTTTGAATATATACCCAGTAGTGGAATTGCTGAATCATATGTTAGTTCTAATTTTAGTATTTTGAGGAACTTCCATACTGTTTTCCATAATGGCTGTACTGATTTATGTACCAACAGTGACAAGCTAGTTTTAAAAAATAACCCAGGGTTACATTAGCAGATGCTTTGTGCATCATTTCTTCTTTAAATTCTTCTTCTGGGAACTGAAGTTTCTCACACTGCAAGCCCGAGTAGTGGCTGCAAATCAAGAAATTTCTCTTCTAATGGGGTTGTGCATCGAGTACCCCCATGCTACCTGGGCACTGGGGTTTCTCAGCCACTCCACTGAAATTTGCATTGGCTTATTGAAAGTCAATCACAAGTCAAAACCACAGACTCACATAGGAGAACACTGTTGTTTGGGCCCAGCAGCTCTGAAATCAATACCTTTAATGGTAGAACCTAAAACTAAAATAAATAGGAAGGAAGGAAGGAGAAAGAAAGAAAGAGAAAGAAGAAAGAAAGAGAAAGGGAGAGAGAGAAAAAAGAAAGAAAGAAGAAAGAAAGGAAGGAAGAAAGAAAGAAGAAAGAAAGAAAGAAAGAATAGAGGAGGAGGGAGAAAAAAGGCAAGAAAGAAAAACAAGGGAAGATTTGTTGACTTTCCAGTATGTACCAGACTGCATAAAAAGCTGTTGCTCTGTAGATTCATTCAACTTCCACTTATAAAGCACCTACTCTGTTCCAGACACACTAGGCACTGGGGATACAGAGATGAATATGCACTATGCTTACCATCTAGGGGGGCAGAAAAATACCTAATGAAGGCACAACAGTATGAGTACTATGGACAAAAAGGGGAGAATAATTTTCTCTGGTATGGGAGAAACGTGGGTTAGGGATGATATCATAGAGGCCTAGTAGGAGTTTCTAAGCAGAGATGGGGTGGAAAAATATCTTAAACAGAGATTAGCAGGAACAAAGGCATGGAGCATGCATGCCAATGTATTTGGGGATTATTGAGTACTTTGGCACAAAGTGGCTCCTATTTTCCAACGCTCAATAGACCAGTTCCCTGAATATTTACTTTCTTCATTTGCTTTTAATAATTAAGTACCAAAAAAAGTGGCTTTGATTGTCAGCTTCACTCTCGGGGTTAATTAGATATTTCCAAATAACTTGCCAAATACTTGCTTTGATCCCAAGTTTGGCTCCTCCTTTCTTTCCCTTTCCCTAAACACTGATTTCTCTGGAGAGCTCTTGTTGGAGAATTGACTGGAGCTAATTATTCCAGATAATTAAGATCGCTAAGCAGAGCAATTTAATTTTTTCTATTTCTTTCTTTCTTGTTTTTTTTTTTGAGAAATGTTAATGTCTGCATAACACACCATCAATAAAACTCCTTTTAAAAGGTTAAGCTGGCTGAGTGCAATATTGAATTGAGAATGACTAGGATCAAATGAAATCCAGTAAAGATATTTAGCAGAGTAATGAAGTTTATTCTGGAACAAATGGCTTTTCCTTATCAGAATTTGCTTTTATTTGATGCAGTGCTGAAATAGGGAAGAACGAAGTCAGGCCAAGCCAATTGCATTAAAAGAAGTTTTTCAGTGACTTTCCATTTACATTCTGTACCTGCCTTTCACTGTCCTCTGCCCCTTCTCCTCTCCCTCCTAAGCACAAGGGTCTTATAATATGCTCTGACTTCCCCCTTCCCTTTATCTCCTCTAAATGTAGGCTGCTCTAAACATGCAATTCTCTCAAGTGTCCTGTGAGTAACAAATAGGTGACACATATGTCAGAACCCATATAACAACTTTTGGAAGAAAGGTTCGAATATACAGTATTGAAAAAAACAACTTGAATTAGTTGCCAACATTTAAACATTTGGAGACTCCAAATACATGTCCAGATTTCCAACTTCTAAAAGCCTGGCATTCCTACCTAATAGTAATTGACTGAAATAGACCAGGAGCTGTCCCCTTTAGGTCAGGTCTGTGGACTCCAGCTTGCCAATACCCTACCCAGCCTTCTTCACTCATTATCTTACCTGCTCAGCCCCACAGAAAAGCAGCCCCTGATGGGAGCTACTCTTTCCACTTTCTCCCTCTTCTATTATACCCAAACTAGCATTTTCTCTTTTCTTGGACAGATTTAAATTTTGTGATGAGAAAACAATCTGATTTAAAAAATTCATTTACTGAGACTAATGATGGATAGTCTGTTTAATCCCACCAGGAGTGTTGCATTTTCAAATTATCTCACTTGAATCTCCAACTGTTAACATTTTGGGCCATGTGCCAAAAAATAAGAAAAAGAGGTGAGGAATATAGGTAGTATAGGAGGAGTGTTGTTGGTTAGCCAGACTTCCCTGGCTTATCTCCAAGTACTTTGATGGTTATAGCGTCCTTTAATGGAAAACATGGGCTTTGTACTCAAACAGATCTGCGTTCACACGTGTACCATCACTTATATCTCTGATGACCTTCTCAGGGTTTCTGAGCCTGTTTCCACATCTGGAAAATATACTTGAAGGGGCTCTGCTGAGCTGGCATATGTAAAGTGTTTGAAACAGTAGTTGCCCAAGAAGTGTTGGTCTCTTCACTGCCACTTTACTTCCACATGGGTTCTGGGGATGGATATTCCGAGTGGTGTCTGGATGACTACAAGGTCATGCCTGACTTTTTAGTTAAAAGTATTTATATCCAAAGTAAGTGTCAGATAATATAGTCACTATTAAAAGAGCACATGCTTAAATTAGTTGATTTGGTGATGTACATAAGAACCATAGTCCTAGCTAGGTACTGGAGAAAACATAATTCACTCACTCATTCATTGTTTTTTCAGTATATTCATTTATTCAACAAACTTTTATTGGGTGCTGTGTTCACCAGCTTTCACTAAGTTATGTTGTGATAAGTACAACCCCAAAACCCAGTGGCTTATAACCAAATACTTATTTCTTGTTCATATTGCATGCTCATTGCCAGTCAGCTGTCGTTCTACTCCTGTTCCAAGCTGTTTCCTGGCATCTGGGATCTAGGATGGAGGAGCAACCTTATCTGAGACATGCCATTCTCATGGCAGAGGGACGAAAGGAGCTAGTAAAATCATGGAATGCCTCTTGAAGTGTCTTTGTGGAACGGGAACACTGTCACTTTCATTCACATTTTATTGGCCAAGACAAGTACATAATTATGCTTGTCGTCAATGGGCAAGGTACCCTTCCTTTAGGAAGGCACTGCAAGTCACAAGCAATGGGTAGGAAAGGTTAATAATCATGCAGGGGAGAGGGAAGACAGGTGTTCAGGAACATTATTATCTTAGTCTGTTTTATGTTGCCATAATAGAATACCTGATACTGGATACTTTATAAAGAAAAGAAGTTTATTTAGCTCACAGTTCTGCAGGCTGGGAAGTTCAAGGACATGGTGCTGGCTTCTGAAAAGGTCTTTCTTGTTGTGTCATAACATGGTGGAAGGTCGTGGGAAGTGGGCATGTATGAAGGAGCCTAATATGAAGGGCATCCATGCTTTATAACAATCCATTCTTGCAGGAACTAATCCATTCCCCCAAGAGCTAATCTAGTCTTATGAGAGTGAGAACTCACTCACTGTTTTAAGAATGGCATCAAGACCCATGAGGTGCAGCCCCTGTGACTTAAACACCTTTCATTAGACCCCATCTCCCAGTATGGCCACATTAGCAACTAAACTTCAATATGAGTTTTGGTGGGGACAAACCATGTCCAAACCATAACATTCCACCCCATAGCATTCCACCCCTGGCCAACTCCCATCCCCTGACCAAAACTCATGTCCTTCTTACAGGTAAAATACAATCATTCCCTCTTAGTGGTCCCAAAAGTCTTAATTTGTTCTAGCACCAGTGTAAAAGTCCAAAGATCAAAGTCTTATCTGAGCCTCAAGGCAAGTTCCTTTTAGTTCTGAGTTCATAAAATAAAAAACAAGTTATTTACTTCCAAGACACAATGGTGGAACAGGCATAGGGTAGATATTCCCATTACAAAATGGAGAAATACACCAAAAGATGAAAGACGTAACAGGTTCCAAGCAAAAATAAAACCCTTCGGGGTAAACATTAAATCTTAACCCTCTGGAATGATCTCCTTTGACTCCATGTCCCACATTCTGGGCACACTAGTGTGAGTGGTGAGCTCTCAAGGCCTTGCACAGCACTGTTCTCATGGCTTTGCTGGGCATATCCTACTTGGTTGCTCTCATAAGTTGGAGTCAAATGCCTGTGGCTTTTTTGAGCTGACGTTGCATGTTCCAGTGGCTCTACAATTCTGGGGGTCCCAGTGGCAGCCCTGCCCTTGTATCTCCACTAGGCATTGCCCTGGTGGGGACTCGCTGTGGCAGCTCCAACTCTACATTTCCTCTTGTCATTGCCCTAGTAGAGGCTCTCTGCAGCGCTCCTCCCCTGTGACAAGTCTTTGCTTGGGCCCACAGGCTTTTCCATATATCCTTTGGAATCTTGGTGGAGGAAGACATACTTCATAGCTCTCACATTCCGCAGGCCTAAAGAGTTAACACCACATGATTCCAAGGCTTACTGCTTGCACCCTCTGGAGTGGCCACATGAGTCTCTTTTTCTCACCTGGGGTCACTTGAGCCATTGCAGTAGTATCCTGAGGGGAGCTAGCATCCCGAGGCAGCACAGGGCAGCAGTGCCCCAGACCTGTCCCCTGAAACCATTCTGTCTTCCTAGGCTTCTGGGTCTGTAATGGGAAGGGTGCCCTCAAAAACCTTAAACATGCCTTTGAAGCCTTTTCCCCATTGTTTTGACTATAAGCACCTGATTCCCTTTTAGCCATGCTAATCTCTTTAGTAAGTGTTGCTCCACCAAACTCTTAATGTCTCTCTTGAAAAATGTTTTTTTTAATTCTCTGCCACATGGCCAGGCTGTGAATTTTCCAGATCTTTCTACTTTGCTTCCCTTTTTTCCTAGCAGTTCACTGTAAGCAGTTAGAAGTAAACATGCAGCAGCCTGAGTGCTTTGCTGCTTAGAAATTCCTTCCACAGATATGCTATATTATTGCTCTTAAGTTTGGCCTTCCACAAAACCCTAGGGCATGGACAAAATATAGCCACGTTCTTTGCAACCATATAACAAGGCTGACCATTGCTCCAGTTTCCAGATCAATATCCTCATTTCCATCTGAGACCTCATCAGAATGGCCTTTATGGTCCATTTTCTATCAGCATTTTGGTCATGACTGCTTAACTGATCTCTAAGAAGTTCCAATCTTTCCCTCATCTTTTTGTCTTCTTCTGAGCCCTCACCAGAATCACACTTAATGTTTAAGTCATAGCAATACAGGCTTTTGCTGGTCTGCTCCTCCAAACTTTTTCAACTCTTGCCTCTTAACCATTTCCAAGCTGCTTCTATACTTTCAGGTTTCTTTATAGCGATATCCCACTCCTGGCACCAATTTTCTATCTTAGTCTGTTTTGTGCTGCTATAACAGAATACTTGAGACTGGGCAATTTATAAACAAAGAAGGTTTATTTATCTCATGGTTCTGCAGGCTGAGAAGTTCAGGGGCATGGCACTAGCTTCTGGTGAGGACTTTGGTGCTTTGTTATAACACGGTGGAAGGTCAAAGGGGAAGTAAACACAGGAAGGGGCCAAACATGAAGTGTGTTCTCACTTTATAACAACCACTCTTGTGAGAACTAATCCATTTCTGCTACAACT
The DNA here is from genome assembly GCF_000001405.40 of Homo sapiens. NCBI lineage: Eukaryota > Metazoa > Chordata > Mammalia > Primates > Hominidae > Homo > Homo sapiens. Next base: position 209,518,551 of record NC_000001.11, on the reverse strand, counting down.
AACCCTGTGTCTTGAGAAGAACTCACTACAGCAAAAACAGCACCAAGGCACCTGTGAGGGTGAAACTCCTATGACCCAAACACCTCCCATCAGGCCTCACCTCCAACACTGCCTCACTGGCAGTCAAACTTAATGAGTTTTGGTGAGGACAAACCACATACAAACCATAGCAACTATCTAAGTGATGGGCATAAAGGGAAGGATAAGATGTGGACCTTTCCCTCAAATAACTCATAGCTTAAAGAAGAAGATGGATATGCTGATGATTATGGTGAAATTATTAATGGCCATAGTAGCTCACAATGGGCATTGGGCTAAGTAATTTACATGTATTAAACAGTTTAATCTTCACACAACTCTGTGAAGTAGGAACTATTATTATCTCCATCCCATTTTATAAATGAGGAACAGAGACACCCAGCCATCAAGAAAGATCACAGCCAAGATCAGACAAGCAATAAGTAGCAGAGAATAGACTTGAATCTGGGTTATCTGGCTCAGGAATCTGTTTGCTTGGTCACAGCAAATAGTAGAGTGTCACAGAGTGCTCCAGATGCACAGGCTAGAGGTGGGGAAGTGGTGACAGGAGATGATCCTTAAGGGTAGAGGAGAATTTAGCAGGTGACAGAAAAGTCACTCCTGCTGGAGAGGCAGGAAGGAGCAGAGGCTGAGGTGTGAGCAGTGTCCGGAGTGACACCAGGAGCAATTTGGTGCTGGAAAAGCCTGAGGTACGAGGCTATAGAGTGGTAGAGAGGCCAGCTCATGGGGGACTCACCTTAGGGAGCTACTTAGGGTGAATTTAGGAGTATGGGAGTGGACACAGAGAGAATAGTGTGAGGCCATTGTAATATGCTCCTCTGTCCCTTTCACCAAAGGGAATTTCTTATTAGGAAATCCATTTTTATATTTGCGTAATCATTTTTATTCCTGCATACATGTGCCTGTCTCTCTGGACAGTGGTGCTGGCTGTGGGGTTTGGGCTGGTGCACCCTGAGTTGATAAAAGAGACGACCAGTCTGGGCAGGCTGCAGTATTTTCTACTGGATTTCACAGGTCTGCAGAAACACTGAGCATTTTTGTTTTCCCTAAGAAACAGAATGTTGGCAGCTTTATTTTTCTCAAGGGTATAGCACTGAATGTTATTTATTGTTCTGACTCTGAATTTCGTGCTGTCTTTTTTTCTGTTTCCTGCTGACAGGTGATTTGCTCTTGAACAATTAACAGAGTGAAGGCTGTGTTCCATCTCCTCACAGTCTCCCGCTGGGCATCCTTGGGAGCACAGGAGGAGAAAGGCTTTCTTCTTGATCCTATTACTGCTGCCCAGCATCAAGAAGGATTAATTAACCCACCAGGTTTTGCTTCATTACGAGGAAAAAAGAAAAGCCAGTGACAGTGGAATTCAAACATTGAACAGGCAAAGGAATCAGTGCTCAAGCACCTTATGAACATTTCGAAGACTTAGCTGGGCGGTGTGGCGCAATGTAAAGTAGGGTGACTTGGTGCAAGTTACACACCCCTGCAGCCCTGTTTCTTCATCCTCAGAGTTCACACTTCAATTCTACAAATTGATGGCCTATTCTGAGCTAAGCCCCGCCCACTCTGAACTAAGCCCCGCCTACTTTGATTCCCTACTCTGAGCTAAGGAACAGTCTTTCATCCCCATGAAAGCTTTCTGTCTAGAAGGAACTAAAGAGCATAATTATACTTATTTTCCAGTGCTGTTGTTAGAATTAATTAAATGTGGTATAGCATGTGAAAGTACTCTGTAACTAAACATTGTATAAATGTTAATTATTCTCATTTTCATATTTGATATTCAGGCATTCAAACAATTATTGAGCACTTATTAGGGCAAAGAACTATACTTGCAGCTAACAGTTACGTGAAAGAATTCGAAGACATTGTTTTTGCTGTTTAGGAAGGTCCCACATGGCAAAGCAATTAAGACACACACATGAAATAATTAAACAACAAAGTTGGGCCTAAAGAAGTTTCATCTCACGTGCTAATCATGGCTGGCTGGCTATGGCTATCTAGAGTATTATGCTGAAAATGATTCTGAAGCTCTTTCTGGGCTCAATTGAAAAGGATGATCTGGTGGATTAGCAATGAATGCCATGGGCATAAGTTGGGCATGTAGTGGTACGTGGACTAGTTGTTTATAGTGCCTAATACAAGGTAGCAAACATAATGATAAAAGTAACTGTTATTGAAATTCAGCCAAGATTGGTATCAGTGTAGGCTTGTATGACTGACAAAGAATGTAGAGGAGCTAAAGAGTAAGCTTGACCTTGAATTACGAGTAGGACTTCAGTGAAGATAGGAGGCTATTTCAGAATGCAGGGCATCTGGTAGGGAGTAGTGGATGGTGGAGAGTAAGGAACTCAGTACTTGATTCAAAGCCTGGGTCTCCCAGAAGTGAGCTGTGTGGCTTGGGCCACTTTATCTCCTGAGGTCTCAGAGTTTTCATGTATAAAATTGTAGAACTTGTCTTGATGGTTTTGAACATTCTTTCTAATTCTGCACAACAGTCCATTTGTGGGTTAGATGAGCCTTTACCAAACTGTATTTCATGGAACAATGGTCCCAAGAGCTGTTCTGTGAAAAGTAAGTTTCATCATCAAATAATTTTGAGAAATTCTGAATCCTATATACGTGTTGATTCCTATTTCTTTCCTTCCATTCTTTCTTGAGTCCACTCTGATTGGTCCTTAAAGTTGGAGTTTATTTTTATCATTATTGTTATTGTCATGGTAGTAAAGATGGACAAAGGCAGATTCCACAAACATCTCAAAATAAAAGTCAATAGGACTTGGTGATTAATTGCATATAGGCAATGCAGGAGAGGGTCTAAGCAAAGATGTCAAGTATTTCAAACTAGAAAATGAATAGAATAAGCCAGGGAATTATTGATGGACAAAAGAAGTTGAACCAGGTTGGTGGACATGGAGCAGGGGTGCGGAGGGAGAATACCATCCTGCAGGCTAGGTACCTCATGGGTACAGGAAGAGATGCATCTAGGTTACTCACAGCTATGGAAGATTATTGCAAAGGTGTAAGAAAAGGTGAAGGAGATCATCTCAGCAGCAGCAGCAACAGCACAACGTTGGGGTCTATAGAGACCACCTTAGTTTGCCTAAGACTAAGAAATTTCTCAGGACACGAGCCTTTCAGTTCAAAAACTAGGTAAGTTCTGTACCAAAAAAGTTAGTTGTATTATTAGGGGATCAATTTTCCTTATTCTAGAATGGACAGCTGGATTCATAATCAAAGGACAATGTGTTGTTGCCAGCAATTTCTGTTGAGCATTTTATGAACAGAGTTTAGATTAGCCCCTTAACAGATGGCTGGTGTCTCCTGTGCCTAGCACATGTAGAAGCATCTTTAGCCCGTCCAACCCTCTCTGGTCTTCCTGGCTATGGCTGGGTAACATTTGGATCCACCTCTTAATGGAGTATGCCATATGCAGTGGGAAAAACAGAGAGGACTGCTTTCATACCATATTCGTGTGATAGAATGAATAATTCTTTCATGGGTTCCTCCCCGAGTCCATCCAGTTCAGAGGAAAGATGATTAGGACTTTCCTCCAGCTGACTTTAAGGGAGGGTGGGATGTTTAGGTAGAGGAGTATTTACAAAATCAGGGGAAAGAGTTGCATTTGGGCTTAAAAAATTCCTGAATATTCTTTTTTAAAAGAAATGCCTGGTCAAATACCGTAGGGAATTACTGAGGAAGAACTTGAAAGAGGGATGGAGAAGGAAGAGGAAAGATAGAAAAGAAAAGAGACAGTAGGAGAGAAAAAGAGAGGAGAGAGAGAGAGAGAGAGAGAGAGAGGTTTGTCACAACCAGGTTTTCCCACCCCTACCTAGGGCATTAGAACCTTCCACTATTGCAGCTAAGAGAATAGAGCATGTGAACAGCTTGTACATTTACTTAAACACCAATGGTTTCAGCTTCTCATACTGCACTCTACTCAAAGGTACAGTAGATTCAGGGACCTGTCACTTAAGACAACTCTTTACCTTCCAACCAACCAAAGTGCATTTTACAATGTCAATGCCATTTCACAGAGAGGGGCATTCATCAGGGGTGTCTGAAGTCCAGGCCAGCCTGAGAAGGAGGTGCCAAGGCTTGGGAGTTGAGGGACCCAGGTCCTAGCTTTCTCTCCACTGGGCTCCATTGTGTGATCATGGGCAACTGGCTAAACATCTCTGGACTTTGTTCTTCCAACCTTTAAAAGGAAGCAAGGACCCACTCTTTTTGTTGAAAGAAGCTGGAGAGAGTAACTGCTGAGCCCAGGGAGAGGAGGGCAGATGCAGGGCCATTGTAGCCTGCTCTCACGAATATAAACACTCTAGAGTTTGGTCAACCCCAAAGGCCCTTTCTTCCTTATTGGTTACTCAGGATTTCCAATCACCTGGGGCTCTCAAAAGTCAACAGGGGCCACTCAGCTAACCTCAGGGGTTTGATATAACCGGCAGGTGAAAGAGGCCAAAAAGACCTCCCCAGACTTCAGCGAGTTGTCAGCCCTTAAGCCCTTGAGCCTGCAGCAGGGGATGAAATATCCTTTGGTTTTCAAATCCCATTGACCCAGGGCTTATCCACGAAGGCAGGCTGGAACCTGGAGCATAGGGCGAAGGCAGATGTGGCAGGTTGGCTCTAGGCAGAATCACTTGGTAGACCCGTCCTCGGCACCTGATTCTACATCTGGAAAAGTGAGTGATAACTGTTGGAGTAATAGTCCTCAGGAGTGCCTGTTAAAAGGGATCAAAGCTTTGTGCTAAAGGGGATCCTAGGAAGTATAAGAGAAATAGCTGAGAGCAGCCAAAAGGTACAGGATGTGGAATAGGGGCACGGAGGCAGCGCTGGTAACCAGCCCTGCACACACTCATTAAGGCCCAACCATGAGCTGTGACCAGAGAGTTGGGATATGCATTTGGAAGTTGAAGTCCAAGTTTACATCTTTCATTGTGAGTCCTCAGTGGACCCATCTACCTGTTGATGGTGAACAGGTCCAAGACTGTAATGAGGTGTAAGTACCATTAGGTGGCGATACATGAATGCCTTTCCCATCTGGTTCCAAAAGAAGAGCACTATGGGTTTGTCTCCCAGCTCAGGCTTATAAGCAGCACATCCATGTTCCCTGCATCTGTAGATCAGCTTTAGCACCCACAGTGCCAGCTGCAAGTGGGGGTAGTGTGTGTGCGTTTTGAGCGCGTGCATGCACATATGCCAATTGTTGTGTATTTTCACCTCAATGTCGGTGACCAGCAAATGAGGCATCAGTGACACCCTGGCAGCAACTGACTACTTGGGCCACACTCTGAAAATGGATTGCCTCTGTTTTCTCTGCTTGATCTTCACTGGGGGAAAAGAGTTAAATTCGATTTCCAGGAGCTCTCCATGAGAGCCAACTTCAGCACAAGTTCCCATTTCCAGAGAGGCTGCCGAGTCTCTCATTTGTAAAGGCCTCCTCCCTTTGCCCTGAGCGGACTAGCCTTCCCCTACTTCTGCCTCTTTGCCTCTGTGTCACAGTTTTGTGGTCGATGACACCCTCTCCTTATCCTGCACCTCCTCCTGGTCTTGCCGACATGGCTCAATACTTTGTGCCTAAATACAGGACTTGTACCAGTCTCCTATGTCCCCGTGGAGGGCCCAGTGACAAAGGAAAAAAACCAGCCTTTCTCTGCTCATCTGGGTGCATAGGGCTCACCCTGAGGGAAGCTGGAAGTGGCAGCAAATTTTTGTTTATAAATAAAAACAAAGACAACTTGTCGTTCCAAAGGAAAATGCCCCCTGGTGAAAGAAACACTTAAAACCACTGAAGAATTAGTTTCGTTTTGTCCTTGGTGGCCACCCTGTCAGCAGGTTTCCTTGATCTTATGTTGGTGACAGAGTCTCAAACTGAATGCCAAGGGAAGGATTCCACACATATTCCTTGGATTTGTAGCTGAGGTACAGCCCTGGGCCTGGGGACATGGAGAAGACCCAGCCTGCAAAACTCAATCATGGCTCTGCAGATTTTACCCAGTTTGGAGATCTACTAGCTACCACACTCGACACACACACACACACACACACACACACACACACACACTATGATGGATGTCATTCTTGTCTGCAACATGCTCTAGTGACTGGGCCCAAGTCAGGCACAGCTTCTTGTGTGAACTGAAACACCATTCTTTTCTTCCCTGTGTGAAAAAACAGAATACAAGGGTGAGTGATCTTATGAAAACACTACTGAATCTGTTCCATTTTACATATTCACAAAATTGAGGCCACTTAATGTAATAGATAAAAGTAATACAGAGACAACTACAATAGGAAACAAAAGGTGAGAAATGACAGAAGAAACAACACTCAGTGAATACTGGGACTCAAGAGCAGGAGCAATGGCAGCCACTTTGGAGTAGGAAGGTGAGCACTAGGAAGGGCCCCCCACCCCCTGCAATAAGCTTTGATGGACGGATGGAATTTTTTTCAAGGTATTCTTTTTTAAAAAACATCTTTATTGAGATATACTTCAAATACTATAAAATTCACTCATTTAAAGCATACAATGCAGTGGTTTTTAGTATATTCACAGAGGTACACAACCATTGTCACAATCTAAGTTTAGAACATTTTTGTCGCCTCTAACAGAAACATGCAGTCATGAGCAGTCAGCCCCATTCACCCCTCACTCCCCAGCCCTAGGCAACCACTAGTCTACTTTCTGTCTCTATAGATGTGCCTATTCTAGGTATTTTATATTAATGGAATTATAGTTTTTTGTGGCTGTCTTCTTCAACTTAGCATAATGTTTTCAAGGTTTGTCCATGTTGTAAAAGGTGTCGGTACTTCATTTCTTTTCATGGCCGAAAAATATTCCATTGTATAGATATTCCCCATGTTTGTTTATTCATTCATCTATTAATGAACATTTGGGTTGTTTCCACTTTTTGCCTATTATGAGAAATGGTGCAGTTCTTTCATCTGCATGTTTTTATGTGGACATGTTTTCATTTCTCTTGGGTGTATACCTAGGAGTGGAATTGCTAGGTCATATATTATCCCTATGTCTAACTTTTTGAGGAATTGCCAAACTGTTTTTCAAAGTGGCTGCACCTTACCGCATTCCCACCAGCAATAAATAAGGGTTTCAATTTATCAGTGTCCTTGTTATAGTCTGTCTTTTTGATGATAGACATCCTGGAGGGTGTGAAGTGGTATCTCGTTGTGGTTTTGATTTGCATTTCCCTGATGACTAATGATGTTGAGCATCTTTTCATGTGCTTATTAGCTATTTGTATTTTTTTTTTTTGGTGTTGGGGGACATATGTCTATTCAAATCCTGGGCCCAGGTCAGGCACAGATGCTTTTTAATTCGGTTGTCTTTTTATTTTTGAGTGGATGGCTGAGTTTTTGAGAGGTGTAGGAGTGTAGGAGCAAAAGCTTAGATGTGGAAAAGGTAGGCACTTGTAAGGAGTAAGAAGTAAAACAGATTGGCTTCAGAGTGTAGCATTTTCATGAGAGATGTGACTCTGCATTTAACAGAAAAGGCTGACAAACTTCTCTAATGATCTATCAGTTTGGGGTAACAATGAGATAAAATGAGATAAAGAACCCGTGTTTATACATAAGAGGAATTCATAAAAAGAAGCTGATGCCATTGCTATTATTGGATGCCTAAAATGGACTGGTCACTGTTCTTGGAGTATTACATATGATCTTATTTAATCCTCCTAACAACTCTATTAATTTATCCATTTTTCAGGTGGGGAAAGTAATCGTCAGTAAAGTTAAATACCTTGCCCCAGGTCACCCAGCTAATAAATGACAAAAGCAAACTTCAGACCCACGCTTGTCAGTCTCTGAAGTGCTAGGGAGCTGCACATCACTGCTTGAGAGATAAAACTAGAAAGTTTGGGGATCTTAGGCTTCGTACAGGACATTGGCTGTTTAGAAAAAGCATATGTTTCATTCAGAGTCACTGGAGAGTTAACGTCTTTGAGCAGGGGAGACTAGGAGCTACATTTTGGAAAGATAAAACTGGATGGTGAGTGTGTTAGGCCATTCTTGGATTGCTATAAAGAAATACTTGAGACTGGTTAATTTAAAAGAAAAGAGGTTTAATTGACTCACAGTTCTGCAGGCTGCACAGGAAGCATCTGCTTGGCTTCTAGTGCGGCCTTGGGCTGCTTACAATCATGGGAGGAGGTGAAGCAGGAACAGGCATCTCACATGGTGAGAGCGGGAGCAAGAAAGAGAGAGTGGGAGGTGCCAGACACTTTTAAACAATCGGATCTCACATGAACTCATCACCAAGGAGATGGCACTAAGCCATTCATGAGGGATCCACCCCCATGGTCCGAACACCTTCCACCAGGCCACACCTCCAATACTGGGGATGACATTTCAGCATGAGATTTGGTAGAGCACACACTCAAACCATATCAGTTGGAATAGAGGAGACTAGAAGCTGAGACACAGATTAGCAGGCTATTAAAATCATCCAGGTGAAGGATAAAGAGGCCAGAACTGAGCAGGTCACAGGTCACAGGGAGCCAGGAAGGAAGGCAGGTACGCAGTGGTGTACTGGAGCCAACTTGAGCCACCTCACAAGAACCGGTTATGAAATCTTCAGCCAATTTTTTTTTTTTTTTGAAACGGAGTCTTGCTCTGTCGCCCAGGCTGGAGTGCAGTGGCCCCATCTCCTCGGCTCACTGCAATCTCCGCCTCCCAGGTTCAAGCAATTCTTCTGCCTCAGCCTCCTGAGTAGCTGGGACTACAGGTGTGCAGCACCACGCCTGGCTAATTTTTGTATTTTTAGTAGAGACAGAGTTTCACCATATTGGCCAGGCCGGTCACAAACTCCTGACCTCGTGATCCACCCACCTCGGCCTCCCAAAGTGCTGAGATTACAGCCGTGAGCCACCACGCCCGGCCAGCCAATTGTTAAACATGGCCATTACTATAAATTAAGTCACAAAAACTTACAATTTAAAAATTTATATTAAAAACAAAGGTAATATATACTTAATAGCCAGCTCAAGTTCTATGCCTTTGCCCTTCATGCCATGTCTCCTTGCTGTCTGCTCCATTGTTGTGCAGGGTTGCTTGAGTTCTGGGGGCTCTGCTCCCAAGATGCTAATTTATGAAGCAATCCTTCATCTGGACATCATCTGTCAGGTGGGGAAGGAGGGCTTGTGATCCCGTCAGCCTGAGTAAAGGCAACACAGAAGAGCTCCATCAAACAAAATGGGACGGATGGATGGCGGACTTCCCAGTGTCAGGGAAATATTGATTCAGGCAAATATATGATCTATCACATGAATATCCTGGAGGCTGTTGCAAATAGAGACACTGCAATATGGGGAGTGTTTTCCACATGATGAAGGATGGCTTTTTGGTGCTGCATCATTGCAATGAGAAGTGATGCGTGGGGCACCAGCCTCACGCCTAGAGTCATGCATTATGGAAACACTGATGCCCTTTCATCCCCACAGGTAAGTGGAGAAATGTACAATTATGATCCTAATAAAATCAGAGAGGGAGAGAGATGACGGCAGCTTCTCCGGGGATCCAGAGTTGTCTAGGACCAGGCAGGGTGCAAGGCTGCTAATTGGACTTTCTGGGAGCTGCCCACTGGGGGAGTTGTGGGTATGGAGTAACTGCCCACTCACTGCACCCTCTGTCTTGCCTCAGAGTAATGAACACACAGGAGCCCTTATCAGGCCTTGGTCATTATCATAATCAGAGATGGAATTATCTTTATCACAGGTGTCATAGATTCACACTAGCACTGCATTCTCTACCGCCCTCTGAATTGTCATGTGAGCCTAATAACAATTTACTTTACCGATGCAGGAACTGCACTCTGGGAGCTTATGTGGCTCACTGAAGTTATTCTGCTGTGGCAAAAAAAGCCAAGACCAGAATCCAGGCTTCCCAAACAGTGTGGGGGTGATTTCCATGATATATCAGCTTTCAAAGCATACTACAGAGAAGGCTTAACTCAGAAAACTCTTCTACCCTATTTGGAAATCTCAAATGCTGCACTTCATCCAGACTAGCAATAAAGGAAGAGAGACTGTTGTTTGCCCACCTTCCTACTATGGGCTTGAGGAAGGCTGTACCTGGATTCTAGTCTCAGCTGTGCGGCTTCCCATTCTTTGTCTCCCAAATACTTAATGCTTTGTTGTTTATTTTTTATTTTATTATTATTATACTTTTAGGGTACATGTGCACAATGTGCAGGTTTGTTACATATGTATACATGTGCCATATTGGTGTGCTGCACCCATTAACTCGTCATTTAGCATTAGGTATATCTCCTAATGCTATCCCTCCCCCCTCCCCCCACCCCACAACAGTCCCCGGTGGGTGATGTTCCCCTTCCTGTGTCCAAGTGTTCTCACTGTTCAATTCCCACCTATGAGTGAGAACATGTAGTGTTTGGTTTTTTGTCCTTGCGATAGTTTGCTGAGAATGATGGTTTCCAGTTTCATCCATGTCCCTACAAAGGACATGAACTCTTCATTTTTTATGGCTGCATAGTATTCCATGGTGTATATGTTTTTTTTTTTTTTTTTTTTTTGAGACAGGGTCTCAGTCTGTTGCCCAGGCTGGAGTGCAGTGGCACAATCATGACTCACTGCAGCCTTGAACTTCTGGGCTCAAGTGATCCTTCCACCTCAGCCTCTCCAGTAGCTGCGGCTACAGGTGTGTGCCACTACACCCAGCTAATTAAAAAAATCTTTTTTGTAAAGACAGTGTCTCACCATGTTGCCCAGGCTGGTTCTGTCACCTCAGCCCCACAAAGTGCTGGGATTACAGGTGTGAGCCCCAAATACTTAGTATTTCTAAGCCTCAGTTACCACATCTCTAAAATGGAGATTAATTCATTCAACATGTATTAATTGAGCATCTATTTTGTGTCAGGTACTATGATAGACACCGATAATAATAGTGCCTATCTCATAGGTATTTTGGCAAAAATTAAATGAAAAGAAGGCAAGTAAAGGGCTAAGCAAGGTGCCTGGCTAATGATAAACATTCAACTGGTGTTGGCAATTAACATGAATAAAGTTCCCCGATATGTCCCTATTTCTTCCTTTTGCAAATATTTATTTAAGGGCCTGATTAATCTAAGGGTTCAGGAATGAATAAAGCATAGTTCCTGCCATTGAGGAGTTCTGTCTTATTGAGGATAGCACAGGCTATCCTGGTTTGAATTCTGCCCTGGTTACTGGCTATAAATTTTTGAGCAAGTCCCATAATCTTTTTGAACTTCTCGAAATAGGGATAATAATACTCACTTAAAGGCTTTTATGAGGTGTTGAGATTATATATGTAAGTGTCTAACCCAGTAACTAGAACATGATTGGCATTCAATTAATGATGCTAATTATCATTATTGTATTCTCATTGTTATTGGATTATTATTAAGCAGATGCTTTCAATGCAATGTGAATGTACTTGACTAGCACACAACTGTCATTCAATTAATAGTGCTGACTATCATTATCGTTAGATAAATAGATACTTTCGATGCAATGTGAATATACTCCAGGAAACAAAAGGCAAAGCACTCATAAAGGGGCAAGTTCACAGAGCTGGTTCTTGACAGATACATTGAAATTGTTCTGGAAAAAAAAGGAAGAAAGAAGCTTCTATAGCAGGGGAAATAAAATTTGCAAAGGCTAGAATGTTCAAGAGGAGGGGACCAGTTGTGCCTGGCTGGAGGAAAGGGAGAGTTGGGGAGGGTGCAGCAGGGTCAGGCAAGAAAGATGGAGCAAAGTTGTAGAAGGTCTTGTGAGACCCTAAAGAGTTTGTCTTGTAGAAATTGGCACTGAGGAGTTGTTGCAGGTTTATAAGAGCATATTCTGGGATAGGAGACAGAGACCAGGCTTTGATTACCTGTAGCATGCAGGCAATTTCTCTGGGGTCCTCTCACCCTACCTTATTCCTCCAGCTAAACACCCAGCCAGTAGCTCTGAAACTGTCCATACTGTTGGAGTGCTGAGCCTGAGGTGAGCATGTCCACCATACGCTGTCTTGCTGGGAGCGCTGCTGAACATCTGAATTCACCTCTAAATGCAGAAGGAAGAAAGATCTCCAGCCAGACTGTTTGACCTCCACTTAGCAGAGCTCAGTTTCTGAAGAGTCTGTATTCCAGAGACTTCAAGGCAGAGACAGCATCCCTGTGGTTGATACCAAGAGCTCGATATGGGTGAGTCTACCAACCAGTGTCCCTGGGGAGAAACAAGATAAAAGCAGACATGAGCAAAAACTCACAGGTCTATGGAGTGAGAAAAGTTTCAGATCCCTCACTGTTCTATTCCTTTCATCTCCTTTGTATGTTGGGGGCATTTCCTGAGGGCTGGCTTTCTGTTTTATGTTAACGATGAGCTATTTTCCAGTTACCCCTTTGAGATTTTAGGGCTGTTATTAACTTGTCAGCAGGTTTCCCCTCTATTTTAATTACTCTTGCTCAGCAGCGTATGGTGGGACATGGGCACAAACGATATTTAAATTGTGTTTCCCATTGAGGAGTGGCTGTTTCATCTTTCCTGGTGACCTCTGAGTGAAAGTCATATTGTTGGTGTGGCATATATGTGAGCCCAATACTCTCCCTCATCATATACAGAAAACCCACCTTCTAGGGAAGGGAGCTCCTTTTCTTTGTGGCTTCTGGGAGTGTTTGAAGGATTTCTGAAATGTCTGACACCAAAGCAGGACTGTACTTATAGAGTGGGAAATCCAGGCCCAGACCTTAGTGGAACTTCTCTTTTCTCTCCTCTTAGGAGCTAGCCCCCTTGGTAATATGTAAAATGGAGATGATGTTTACTAGATTAGCCCTCTCATATTGTCCTCAAATTTCAGAGCCCTGGGTGTTCCATGGAGACCCAGGGGCTAGTAGCCCAGCTGAGGCCTCCACTGGACCAAGGCCTCTTCTGACCTTTCCCTGATCATAGGAGACAAGGGAAGTCTGCTCTCTAGAATAATCCTACTGGGAAAGCCACTTAGACTTTAGTTAATGGTCACCCATTCAAGCTAATTTTTCCCATTTAAACACAAGCTTTCAGGATGCAATGCTTTAACCTAAAGAGTGTCTTTATGGTGGAGAAGAGCCCATCAGGGCAGATGGCCTTTGGAAGGCTTGTTTTCCATTTCCTGTGTAGGCAGCTGCCTCTGTCTCTGCTGTGTCTGCCTAGTTAGCTTTTTTTTTTTCCCTGGTTTTCCTGAGAGTTATCAGGAAATTACCTGGGTACTGGGGAATGATAGATATCCCAAGATTGTATGACAGATATGGTTAAAGGCGAGAGTGGTTCCTCACTTCCTGAATCCCTTTAGTCAGGACCTTGGAATTAGTATCTGATTATACAGGGCCTGGTGCTGTCACCTCTTCTTTTGTGTAAGTTATGCTGACTCCCCAGCTAAGTCATAAGCTGCTTGAGGTCAGGGACCTGTACTTATATTTTGTGCATATAATGTTATAATAATAGATAATCTCTGTCCACAGTCATGTAGTCTTTATTTTTATAGTTATTTTAAAAAATTTAATAGTTTTAAAACCTTATGAAGGTTTTACAGATGAGGAGAGAGAAAGGTTGAAATGCATTGGCAGGCATCCCATAGCTAGTAAGTGACAGAACTGGGATTTGAACCTTTGAACTGGGCTTTGAATCAGGCTTAACACAGCCAGTGATCTTTCTACTGCATCATACCATACAGCATAAGCACCAGGTCTCTTCATTTCCAGTCTTGACCTCTAGGCTACATGATTACTAAAGTGAGTCCATACCACAGATTCTTGCTCCTGAACTTGGTAGCTTCATCTGTTTCCTCGTCATTCCTGATGGTGGTGAGATGGCAAAGGAGAGCATGTGAGGAGAGCTGGCAGCTGTGGCTGAGTCTCTGTGTGCAGGAGTTTAGGCTTGCAGTCTGCTGGCTTCAATTTACCTCCCTTAATTGATTTTCATTTTATTTTGATCAAATATATACATGCACACAGTAGCAATCTTTTTCAAAAGGAATCCCTCATTTGAACCACAAGATCACAGAATGTGTTTTGATTGGCATTTTCCCCCATTCTCCCGAGGATGGTAGAAAACTGGTGTCCTTCTAGATATGGGAGAGATTAATTCATTATATATAATGGATACCTTAGGACAATGGTGCTCAAAGTGTGGTGCTTGGAGCCCCAAATGTCTCTAAGACTCTTTTAGGACATCTGTGAGGTTAAACCATTTTTCATACTAATGCTAAGACGTTTTTCCTTTTCACTGTGTTGACATTTGCACTGATTGTTTATAAATTGTGTTGTGTATAACTGCTGGCACCTTAGCATGAATCAAGCAATGCACCAAATTGTTCCTGATCATTGTATTTTTCATGGCCATATATTTGCTATGAATAAAAAAGCATTGGTTTTCCTTAAGAATTCCTTCATTAGGTTCTAAAAAGTATTTTATGTGACAAAATAAGAAATATTCATAAAGCATTTCTGCTGTATACCACACTACCATTAATGTCCTGAGGAAAAGCAGCCATGTGATTGTTTGAGTTGTGGGCTGAACTGACAGCCTTTTCTATTGAGCACCATTTTTACTTGAAAGAATGACTAATAGACAAACTATCACTATTCAGACTTCAGTTTTTGGCAGATATTTTCTAAAAATGGATGAAATGGACAAGTCAGTTCAAGGAAAACAACTGATAATAAAATGAGCTTTCAAATGAAAATTAGAATTTTGGAAAACTTTTATCTGCTGCTGTGAGCTGGAAAACTCTCCCATCCTTAAAATATTTTTTTCTGATTGGATGATATTAATGTCTGTGATTTTTTGACGTTGTATAATCAAAGGTGTCAATGTTTGGAAGACCTGCAATATGAACCAATATTTTCCAAGTAACCAGTGCATTCTGTTACAAAATCATGCATGGATAAAAGAACCAAAGTACAAGATAGACCAGTATATTTTAGTATAACAGAGTACATAAAGTTCATTGATATGACTTCAGATTCCACATCACAAGTAACCTTTGAAGAACTATTATTTATTGCATTTTTGTGTAGAATCAAAGAATAGCCACAATTATTGCAAAAGACTATTGAAATTCTTCTCATGTTGTGTGGCTGGATTTTCTTCATTTACTTCACCAATAACATATCTGAAAAGATTGAGTAAAGGAGATGTGAAGATAAGTTCAGAAGATGGTTGGCTAGAAGCCCATAGCGCTCATCCTGCTCACAAAGACAGCTAGAACAGTGAAGAAACAATACTATTTTAATAAAAATAACTGAGGGAGAGCCACAGAGTGTGTCCAAGGGGTAACAGAAACCCTGGAGAGCACAGAAACTCAGGATAGTCACATAGAGAATGAAAGGAAACACCAGGCCTCCACCACCCCATCCCCAACCGGATCAGCTGGGAATCAGGAGAAACTTCTCTCTAAGGCAAGGAGATAAAGAAGAGGATCCTAGCAACCCCATCCACACCTTCATACCTACAGGCCTCACCATTCTGGTTCACCTGCAGTCCTCAGGGGCACCACACCCATTTGAGGGATCCGTCTGGATTCCACATAGCTGTGCCTCAAAGAGAAGGAGCCAACGCTATGCCCCATCTCTTATGGTTTGCTACACCTTCTTGGGATTGGAACTATGGCTGGAGTGTGTCTTGCTCTTGGGGTGGGTAGCCCCTTAATTCCTGAGGCTAAGCCACCAACAAACCACTCCAGCCCAGTGGCACAACATCCCCAAGCCATGCTGTGAGCAAAGCTGTGACTTCCTTGTGGAGCCAAGCAGAGATGAAGCTGCTCCACCTACCCCTGCCCTCATCCTCTCAGGCCATAGGTGAAGCAGCACCCAGCCTCCAGGAAAAACAGTACCTTGGCCACTCAGAGCAGTCATGCCTCCCTGGTGCCTAAGCTGAAGCAGCATCCTGTGTCCCAAGAAACAGCACCTTGGCTTTCCAGAGTGGTCATGTACTCCAGCTGAAGCAGCACCCTGCATCCCCCAGAAATGGTGCCTGGGCTTCCCAGAATAGTCATGCCCTCACAGACATGAACTGAAGCAGCATATTACCTTCTGGGGAATCAGTACCCTGGCCAAGCTGTGCAGCTGTGCATCCCAGGGCTGAGCTGATGTGGTACCTCACATCCCAGGGAAACAGAGCAGTGATTGAGCTGACAGACCTCACCTTACAAGCCAAACAACTCTTAACACCCTGCTTCCCTGGAGCTGGACTAGCCTCCTTGAGGCTAAGCTGCTAAGATACTGCACTCTCTGGGGAGTGCAGTCATCATTGTGCTGTTTCCTGTCTCCATCATCCTCATCCCAGCGCTCTAATAATAGCTGAGCTTCACCATCCTGGGGTACTTGTTGCTGCTGCACCTGGCTTCACAGAGTCTGGGATACTGCTGAAACCCACCACCACAGAGTCTAGAATTACCACTACACAGTACCTCATCTCTTGGGACCTGAGTTGCTACTGTGACCTATTAGCTCAAGTTCCTGAATTGCAGCTATACCCTGGTCCCTGGGCCCAAAGCTCCAGAGCACTCCCCCTTCCGGTGTTGTACCCTACCCCTCCTGGGGGAGAATCACAGTTACGATCTGGATCCCTGGGTCTGAGCTGCTAGGAGGTGCCTCAGAATCACAGATCCTGGCTTTGTGGGCAACCTATATCCCTGCCACAGGGAGCAAGCCTGCACTGGAAAACCCAGATGCCACAATAGGTTCATGAGACCCTCAGGCTAGGATCCCAGCCCCAAAGCCACTCTGGACACCTGCACCTGGAACCCAGTGCTGCTGCAGCTGCTTGTAGAACCATGTCAGACCTGACACTAAAAAGGATCCCCTTGGCTAAGTCTTCCCATCGTGGGAAAAATGACAATAAGAGGACCCCAAAAGCCCTTGACACCAAGGATATTAATAACCTACACAATTGCTATGACTGCCATAAACTTCTACAGCCTGAGGCATCCACAGTTATTGCTTATGTTGAATGTAGCTGAAGAAGCTGCACAAAGACTACACCACTGAACCTATGCAAAAACAGTCACCACATCTCTTCCAACCAGCACTGTAATGTTTAACTGCAGGTGCAAGTCTTTCTCTATAAAAGTGACACTAGAAAGTTTGGAAGAGACAGTTGTTCTACCAGATGCACAGACATCAATGCAGAGACAAAAGAAACACAAAAAAGTAAAGAACTGTTATACCACCAAAGGCACATAATAACTCTCTAGTAACAGATCCCAAGGAAAAGAAAATCAATGAATTGCCAGAAAAAGAATTGAAAATAACCATCTGAAGCTGAAGAATTCAGTGAATGAAATGAAGAGTACAATAGAGAGTTTCAGTAGCAGGCTTGATCGAGCAGGAGAAAAATTTCTGAACTCAAATATAGATCATTTGAAGTCACACTCTCAGAGAAAGAAAAATAAGAAAGAATATGAATGAAGAAAGCTTACAAGACTTGTGGAACACTATTAAGTGAACAAATATTTGTATTATGGGTATTCTAGAAAAAGAAGTGAAGAAAAATGTAGAAAACCTAGTTAATAAAATAATAGCTGAAAACTTTGCAAGTCTGGGGAGAAATATGGACATCCAGATCCAGGAAGCTCAAAAGTCTCCAAATAGATTCAACCCAAAAAGGACCTCCATAAGACACATTATATTCAAATTGTCAGAAGTAAAAAAGAGAGATAATTGTAAAACTGCAAGAGAAAAGCATAAAATCATATATAGGGGAATCTCCATTACACTAACAACAGATTTCTCTAAAGAAACCTTACAGGTCAGTAGAGAATAGGATTATATATTCAAAGGGCTGAAATAAAAAATTGCCAGCCAAGAATACAAAGCCTAGTAAAGCTATCCTTCAGAAATGAGGAAGAAATAAAGACTTTCTCAAACAAGCAAAAAATGAGGAAATTCATCACTACTAGACAGTCTTAGAAGAAATGTTCGATCAAGGTAGTCCTACATCTGGAAACAAAAAGATGATAATCACTATCATGAAAACACATAAAATTATGAACTCATTGATAGACTAGATACAAAATGGAGAATAAGAAATATGACCCAACTATATGCTGTCTTAAATAAACTCACTTCACCTATAGACACATATAGACTGAAAGTGAAGAGATGGAAAAAGATATTTCATGCAGATGGAAATCAGAGGTGAGCAGGAGTAGCTGCTATACTTACATTACATAAAATAGACATTAAGTCAAAAACTAAAAACATACAAAGAAAGCAATTATATAATAATAAAAGAGCCAATTTAGCAAGAGTATATAACAGTTGTAAATATATATACACCTTAAGACTGGAACACTCAGATATATAAAGCAAATATGATTAGACCTAAATGGAGAGATAGACTCCAATTTAGGTTGGGGACTTCAACACTCCACCCACAGCATTGGACAGATCATGTACACAGACAATCAGCAAAGAAGCATTGAATTTAAACTGCATTTTAGACCAAATGGACCAAATAGACATTTTCAGAACTTTTAATCCAACAGCTACAGAATACTCATTTTTTTTTCATCAGCACAGGGAATATTCTCTGGGATAGAGTACATGTTAGGCCACAAAACAAGCCTCAAAAGAGGTAAAATAATTGAAATTATATCAAATATCTTTTCTGATCACATGGAATAAAACTAAAAGTTAATACCAAGAACAACTTTGGAACCATATAAATAAACGAAAATTAAACAACATGCTCCTAAATGACAAATGGGTCAATTAATAAATTTAGAAGGAAATTAAATAATTTCTTGAAACAAATGAAAATAGATACACAATATACCCAAACTTATAGGATACAGCAAAAGTAGTCTTAAAAAGAAAATTTAATAGCAATAAATGGCTCTATTATAAAAGTAGACAGATTGCAAATAAACAACCTAATAAGGCATTTCAAGGGCCTAGACAACCGAGAAAAACCAAAATCCGAAATTAAAGGAGGAAGGAAATAATAAAGATAGGAGCAGAAATCAACAATATAGAGTCTAAAAAATTTTAAAAGATCAAAGAAAAAGTTGCTTTTTTGAAAAGATAAACAAAATTGACAAACCATTAGAAAGATTAACCAAGAAAAAAAAAGGTGAAAGATCCAAATGAATAAAGTCAAAAACTAAAAAGGAGACATTACAATTAACATTGCACAAATACAAAGAATCATAGACTACTATGAACAACTAATTGCCAATTAATTAGAAAACCTAGCAGAAATCGGTCGGGTGCAGTGGCTCACGCTTGTAATCCCAGCACTTTGGGAGGCCGAGGCGGGCAGATCACGAGGTCAGGGGATCGAGACCATCCTGGCTAACACAGTGAAACCCCATCTCTACTAAAAAAAATACAAAAAATTAGCCAGGCATGGTGGCGGGCGCCTGTGTAGTCCCAGCTACTCGGGAGGCTGAGGCAGGAGAATGGCGTGAACCTGGGAGGCGCAGCTTGCAGTGAGCTGAGATCACGGCACTGCACTCCAGCTCCAGCCTGGGCAACAAAGTCAGACTCCATCTCAAAAAAAAAAAAAAAAACAAAAAAAAAACCTAGCAGAAGTTGATAAATTCGTGGACAATGTATCTTGCAACCTACCAAGATAGAACCAAGAAGAAATAGAAAATCTGAACAGACAAATTATGAGTAAAGAGATTAAATCTGTAATAAAATGTCTCCCATCAAAGAAAAGCCTAGGATCTAATCACTTCATTGCACAATTCTAGCGAACATTTAAGGAAGAACCAACACCAATTCTCCTCAAATTCTTCCAGAAAATTTCAGGGGAGAGAATTCTTCCGAATTTATTCTATGTAGCCTACATTACCCTGATTGCAAATCCCTGATGAACATAGGGGCAAAAATCCTCAACAAAATAATAGCAAATTCAGCAGCCCATAAAATGATCATTCACCATGATCAAGTGGGAATTATCCAAGGATGCAAAGATGGTTTAACATATGCATATTAATAAATGTGATACATCACATTAACAAAATGATAGACAAGAATTGTATGATCATCTGAATAGATGCAGAAACATCGTATGATAAAATTCACCATCCCCTGATGATAAAAAACTTTCAATAAGTTAGTATACAAGGAACATACCTCAACACAATAAAGCCTATCTATAACAAACCCACAGCCAACACTATAATGAATGGGGAAAAGTTGAAAGCTTTTCCTCTAAGATTTGGAACAAGACAAAGATGTTCACTTCCAATACTTTTATTCAAGATAGTACTGGAAATCCTAGCCAGACCAATTAGGTAAGAGAAAGAAATAAGCAGCATACAAATTGGAAAAGAAAAAGTCAAATTGTCCATTTGCAGAAAACATGGTGTCATGTATAGAAAATCCACAAGTTTCACCAGAAATCTCTTAGAAGTGATAAAGAAATTTAGTGAAGTTTCAGGATACAAAATAAACTGCCATAGTTTGGTTTGACTCCTCCAAATCTCATGTTGAAATTTGATCCCCAGTGTTGGAGATGAGGCCTCTTGGGAGGTATTTGGGTATGAGGGGAATCCCTCATGAATGGTTTGGTGCTGTCCTTGTGGTAATGAGTTCTCACTCTACTAGTTTCCATGAAAGCTGGTTGTTAAAAAAACCTGGCACCTGCTGCCTGCTCTCTTGCTTCCTCCTTCATCATGTGATCTCTACACATCAGCTCTCCTTCCCCTTTCACCATGAATGGAAGCAGCTTGAGGCCCTCACAAGAGCAGATGCCAGTGCCGTGCTTCTTGTACAGCCTGCAGATTCATAAGCCAAAGAAACTTCTTTTCTTTATAAATAACTTATCTTCAGGCATTCCTTTATAGCAACACATGATGGACTAAGACATCACTATACAAAAATCAGTAGCATTTCTATACCCCAACAATGAAGTAGCAGAAAAAGAAATCAAGAAAGCAATCTCATTTACAATATCTACAAAAAACATAACTAGGAATAAATTTAACCAAAGGGTAAAATATCTCTACAAGAAAAACTATAAAGCAGTTCTGGAAGAAATTTAAGAAAACACACAAAAAAGGAACGATTTCCATGTTCTTATCGATTTCCATGTTTCTTATCCCAGTTAGAACAGCTATTACCATCAAAAACACAAAAAAAGTACAGCTGAAGATGCAGAGAAAAGGGAACTCTCATACACTGTTGGTGGAAATGTAAATTAGTACAGCTATTATGGACAACAGTATGTAGTTTCCTCAAAAAACTACAAATAGAACTATCTTATGATCCAGCAACCCCACTGGTGCATAAATATCCTAAGAAAAGGGAATCAGTATGTCAAAAAGATATCTGCACCCCCATGTTTATTGCAGCACTATTCATAACAGCCAAGATGTAGAATCAACCTAAGTGTTCATTATCAATGGGAGAAAGAAGAAAAGATGTAGTATATATGCACAATAGATTATTATCAACCATAAAAAAGAATGAGATCCTGTCATTTGTGGCAACATAGATGAGCCTGGAGGACAGTATGTTAAATGAAATAAGCCAGAGACAGAAACACAAATATTGCATGTTCTGACTGATACATGAGTGTTAAATAAAATTGATTTAATGGAGGTAGAGAGTGGCATGGTGGATACCAGAGATTGGAAAGGGTAGAATGGAGAGGGAGATGAAAAAAGGTTGGTTAATGGGTACAAAAATATAATTAGATAAAA
Organism: Homo sapiens; assembly: GCF_000001405.40. Taxonomy (NCBI): domain Eukaryota; kingdom Metazoa; phylum Chordata; class Mammalia; order Primates; family Hominidae; genus Homo; species Homo sapiens. Next base: position 209,496,846 of record NC_000001.11, on the reverse strand, counting down.
GGAATAAGTTCTAGTGTTTGATAGCATAGGAGGATGACAATAGTTAACAGTAACTATACTGTTGTATACTTCAAAATAGCTAGAAATGAAGATTTGGAATGTTTCCAGCACAAGAAGTAATAAATGTTTGAGGTAAAAAGAAGCAGATATGTAAATCCAAATATCTTCTATTAAGTCAGACTTTGAACACATTTGCAAAAATTAAAGGCCAGTTGTGGTGGCTTGAGCCTGTAGTCCCAGCACTTTGGGATGTCAAGGTGGGCGGATCGCTGCTTGAGCCCAGGAGTTCGAGACCAGCCTGGACAATATGACAAAATCTTATCTCTACAAAAAATACAAAAATTAGCCAGGTGTGGTGATGTGTGCCCGTAGTCTCAGCTACTTGGGGGGGCTGAGGTGGGAAGATGTTTGATTCTGGGAGGTGGACATTGAAGTGAGCTGGGATCACACCACTGCACTCCAGCCTGGGTGACAGAGTGAGACCCTGTCCCAAAAACTAAAATAAAAATTAAAAAAATTAAAACAATGTACTATTTTTTCTATTTTTTGAACACATATTTGTATAAAAACATGTTTTATTAACATGTAATAGGTTTATTATGCTATTTTAAAATAAATATTTAACATTTTTTATTTTTCTTAGTTTTTATTTTTAATATGGTAAATTTCAGTACATATAGTCCATAGAAACCCAAATTCTTTGGAATACTCAATGAATTTTAATAATTTAAAGGGATCCTGAAATTAAAAATATTTAAGAACCGTTGCCTTAGAGCCTTAGGTTTAAATCTCTCACAGACTGCAGAATTTTAGGGTGAAAAATTCTACAACAATTGCTATGCAAAAGGCAGTCAATTTTATGTTATCTGATAGCTTTTTAAGAAAGGATGCCTAGGAAGTAAATTTCTTAAACCTTGGATGTCTTAAAATGTCATTATTGTACTCTGATTCTTAATTGTGAATTGATACTTTTGTTGGGTATAGAATTCCAGGTTGAAAATACTTTCCTTCAGAATTTTGATGAACTTCCCACACATTTTTAGCTCTAAGTATTGCTCTTAAAAATTCCAGGCCACTCATGATGGTGTGTGCCTTGTCCCAGCTTCTTGAGAGGCTGAGGTTGAAAGATCACTTGAGCCTGGTAGTGTGAGACCAGCCTAGGCAACATAGTGAGACCCTGTCTCAAAAATAAAAAAAAAAAAGGAAAAAAATCAAAAAGTCCAAAGACATTTCGGATATCTCCTTTTTCTTGAGTGCTCTAAAATACCATGTTTCTATGATGGTATGAGCTTGTCCTTATCCACTTCTATTTTTATGATTATTTGGTGGAACTTTTCAATTTGGAAACTTATGTCTTTTAGTTTTGGTAAATTCTCTTCATTTGTTTCATGCATGTTTCATATTCTTGGTTGTCTTTTTCTAGAATTTCTTCCATTTGAATATTGGACCTTCTGGAATAAGTTTTCTAATTTTCTTCGTCTTTCTTGCTATAGGCAGAACATCTGTGTCCTCTCCAAATTCATATGTTAAAATTCAACCCCCAACGTGATGGTATTTGTAGGTGGGGGTCTTTGGAAGGTGATTAGGTCATGAGGGCTCTGCCTTTATGAATGGGATTAGTTCCCTTCTAAAAAGGACACAGAGAGCTCACTCACCCTCTTTTGCCATGTGACGTTACAGTGAGAAGAAGGCCGTGAATCTGCCAGCACCTTGATCTTGGACTTACTAGCCTCTAGAACTGTAAGAAATAAGTTCATAAGCCACCTAGTCTATGGTATTCTGTTGTAGCAGCTCAAAGAAAGACATTTTTATTCTGTTTTCCCTTGTGTACTCTCTCTCTCTCTCTCTCCTCTTTCCCTCCCCTCTGGCTTATATACCCTAAGAAATTTTCTGAATTTAACATTTGAAGTCTTATATTGAATATTTTATTTGTGCAATTATGTTTTTAATTTCCAAGAGCACTTTTCTGTTTACTTAGCTTTCCTTCACTATAGTATGCTGCTTATGTTTCATGGATACAATATCTGTCTTGTTATCTTCCTGAGAACATTGGTGATACACAACTTTATACTTTTGTTTTCCTTGAATTTTCTGTTTTTTCAAGTTGTTATTTTCTCCTTGATTTTGTTGTTTATTTTTTCCACTAGAGGACTCCCTCAGATATTTAGATGTCCCTGGTCATTTGTTAATATTTATGAATGAGTACTAAAAAGCAAACTTAAATCCCTGAACACATAGGTTCAGTTTGTTGACTATTGAGCCTCACTATAATGTGTTCAGTGTGGACCATTTGTTGAGAAACCTCCCATGTGAAAATCTAGCCCTTTCCTTTGGGCCGGCCTGATTCTCCAAGAAACATCTTTCAAATATCTACCTTATAGGCCTGGCTGCAAGCATGCTGGAAACTGATTGGAAGGAGAAGGCTGAAGATCACAATTCACGGAACACAATATTCATTTTAGGCTTGATTAAAGTATGGCACCTGTCTTCTACCCTTCAACCCTCTCTGTTATTCCAAATACCCTTGGTTTTACTCTCTTTAGAGATGATATCTTCAGCTCATGTTGGATGGGGAACAGGCAGTCACCCAGACACTTGGAAGAAAGAGATCTGGCTGTCTGTTTATATTTTTACACAATGTAATATTTATACAAGATAAAATATACAAATATTATATGCAAACCATATTAATAACACATATGTAAATTATGAAGCATGTTAACAAAATGAACATCAATTAAGAACAAAGGCATTCCAAATATTTTTGTACCTACCTCTGCGTTTCTTCCCTTTTCCACCTCCCTGCCTCCTTCACCATCCTGACACAGAGGTAATTACTGTCATGAATTTTGTATTAATCATTTCCCTGCTTTTAAAATATAGTTTAATCATATATGTATATATCTATAAACAATGTATGTTTTCAGTTTTGCCTGTTTTGAGCTTTGTAAGTATGGTACCATAGTAATAGTTTTTCTATGAATTGCCTTGCATGTCATTCAAGGCATGTTTCTAGGAGCAACTGCTTCTAAGCTGACTTTAGACCCTTTCTCCTATTTTCAGTTTCACTTTCATCCCCACTTCCAGAATTGCCTTGCTGCCAATTCCAGAGCCTTTGGAAGTTCCTCAGTATACATTGATTTATTTGCTGGATTTCTCTACCACTAGCTTAGGGTTTAACTTTTTCAAGTTTGTTAAATCACTAAGCTACTTTATCTGAGTAGTAGCCCAACTTATAAAATGTTGTTGCTTGCATCATTTTGTATTGTTTGTCTTTAAAGTTATGTTTAAAAATCCCTTTGCTGTAATATTAGTAAGATTTTTGGAGAGAGCAAATCTAACCGTGTGTGTTTAATCTTTTATCATTCAAATATTTACAAGTCCTTACTTCCTTTGAATGGATTAAAATCACTCAGGATGGTCTAATCCCACCAGATTTTAGTTTTCCTGTCTACCATCCCCACTTTCAGAACCTGCTCTTTAGATGTGTGTGTGTGTGTGTGTGTGTGTGTGTGTGTGTGTGTGTGATGCATGCCTTTAGAAAAAAAAAAGCACAGTCATGTATATGTACAAGCATGCAAGCAGGGCTACAATCCTACTTTTTGCATGGGGTTTTTGATCATTTATTTGAGCGTATTGAATGTCTATTATATGTTATGCATTACATTAGGTACACAAGGATATAGAAACTAGTTATAGTTTCTTGCAAAGAGAGTTTATTGTACTGAGAAAGAAAAAAATCTATAAAATAGCACAGTGTGATATGTACTACTCTGAAATTTCAAGGCATTAGAGTTAGGTTGTGTAGGGTTGAACAAGGCATGAGAGATGACGGTTGGAGTAGGTAAGAACTTGTAGAGGAGGTGAGGCTTCATTTGAGCTCTAAGGGTATACTTTAGAGAAGAGACAAGGAGTGGAGAGAGTGTTCCAGGAGGGAGGAACTCACTGCCTCCTTGCCCACTGAGCTCTAGCTACACTGGCTTTTCATATCCCTGGATGTGTCATGATCTTCCCCTTTATAGGAAATACGTTCATGCTGTTTTCCTGCCAGGATGGTCTTTCTCCCATTCTTGTTTTAGCTTAATCCTATTTGGCCTTGAAGACTTAATTTAAAATTTTACTTATTTAGGAAAGCTTTCTTTAACTTCCTCAGTGCAAATTACAGCTCCCCCACCACATGTTATACTCTTATATCATGTATCATACTTTTCCTTCTCAGTTTCTTCACAGATTTTTAGTTGTACATTTACTTGTGTGATTACTTGTCTAATGTCTATTTCTTACATTAAATAGAAAACTCCAAGATGCAAGAGACTGGCTGTTGTCACAACTACCTCACTGGTGCTTAGCATAGTGTGTAGCCCATGGAGGAGTTACCTGGACCTGTATGGACAAGGAAAGGTGAGCAGGAGAAGGAGTTTGCAGTAGCCAGACTCAAAACAGTCCTCCACAAGTCTCCACCTCTTGATATTTATACTATTGTATAGATCCCGTGAAACCTCAAAATCAGAGACAGGTCTCAGTTAATTTAGAAAGTTTATTTTGTCAAAGTTGAGGATGTATGCCTGTGACAGAGCCTCAGGAGGTCCTGATGACATGTGTTGAAGGTGGTCAGAGCAGTTTGGTTTTATATATTTTAGGGAGACACGAGCTATCAATCAACATATGTAAGATGAGCATTGGTTCAGTCTGGAAAGGTGGGACAACTAGAAGCAAAGGCAGGAAGACTCAGCGGGGAGAGAGCTTCCAGGTCATAGGTAGATAAGAGACAAATGGTTGCACTCTTTTGAGCTTCTGATTAGCCTCTCCAAAGGAGGTAATCAGATACGCATTTATCTCAGTGAGCAGAGGGGTGACTTTGAATAGAATGGGAGACAGGTTTGCCCTAAGCAGTTCCCAGCTTGAGTGATTTTGAGGCCGCAATATTTATTTTCCTTTCACAACCCCTCCCACATGGCAGCAGGGTTATTCTCTGTGACCAACAGAATATGCATTTTCCTTCTGAGTTTATGTTATAAAAAAGCAGAACTTCCATTGTGGCTTCTCTCTTTTTCTATCACTCACTCTGAGGGAGACCACCTCCATGTCTTGAGGACACTAAGGCAGCCCTGTGGAATAGCCCATGTGGCAAGGAACTGAGGTGTTCAGCTGGTGAGAGACTGAGGCTACCCAATAACCACATGCATGAGCTTGGAAGCAGATCCTCCAGTCTTCAGAAGATTGCAGCTCAGCCTACAGCTTGACTGCAACTTCAGAGGCTAGCCAGAACCACTTAACTAAGTCGCTCCAAAATTTCTCAACCTCAGAAATTGTGTGAGATAATAAATGTTGTTTCAAGCTGCTAACTTTTAGGATAATTTGTCATATAGCAACGGATAACTAATACAAGGCTTAATGAGAGAAATAGGTGCATGAGAATAATCCTGCTTCTTCCTTTGATTCATTTAAACGGTGCTTGTCAGTGACTTCCCCGACTGGATTTTGAACCCATCTTTCTGAAGAGTCTTTATTTTTCTCCAAGACATCCCCTAGTTGAACAGCTCTCTGTATTCCTGAGTTTCAGTGGTCTGATGCTTGTTGAAGAGGCTCTGATTACAACCTCAGCACAGATCTTCCAGTTGATTGAAAGGCCCCAGCTGATACTGAGTTCAAGTTGCTTCAGGGTGTGGTGAAGAAGATTCCTTTTCTGAGATTTACAAAGATGCCCCATCTTGAAGATTCTCTCTCTTGAGGGAAGAGAGAAGGTTTGCTAAAGTGTGTCCTTGGATGTCACATGTGCATCATTACATTTCAAATTTGGGGGGACTCCTGCTTTTCAGAGGGCCACAAAAGATTAAAGTCTGTGCTATGCTTCTGAGGCAGAGTGGGGCAGTGGGGGAGAGCTTTAGTTTAAAGTCACATGCACTGAGTTTGAGTCTTGTTCTGCTTTTTGGTACCTGAATGTGTCATTTCACCTCTCTAAGCCTCTGTTTCCTCACCTATAAAATGGAGTTAGTAATACTACCCGTCTTCTCCGCAGAATTGATGGAAGGATTATATGAGCCAATGCATTTAGCACAGCACCTGATGAATAATAAGTGCCCTTAAATGGTGACTATTTTGATTGCAAATGACAGAATCAGAAGTTAGTGCCAAGTCCAGATTTGCCTCTAATTAGCCGTTTGGGTTTGGGCAAAACATTTAACTTCTCAATGTCTTAATTTCCTTATTTATAACATGAGGGGATTTGGCGAGTTGGTATTTTCCGAAGTAAAATCCACAGTGCTGTTTGCATCAGAATCAAAATCATTTGCTTAGTAAAATAATACAAATTCCCAGGTCCACCCCAGACCCACAAAGTCAGAATCTCTTAAATGGAACTCAGGAATCTATGTTTCAATCAATTCCTCATATGATTCCTGTGCACACTGCCTGCTCTGCCATTGTAGAAATCTATCTAATGGATTTAAGTACCCGTTAGATTAGGAACTTATGACGGGCCTGAGGGATCCTGGGAGAAGAGATGAAATAGCATGTGTAATCTTATTCTGTATGAATTTTCCATCAGGTAGGTAAGATTTAAGACGTTCTTCCTTAGACCACACCAGGATATCCAGATCTGAGGAATTAGTGTACTTCTTCCTTATGCCCACAGGAGGTCAGTGAAACATTAGGCCTATCCTTTTTCAAATTTCAGAACAAAAGAATTTTGAACAGTGCCAAACTAGAAGTAGAATGCTTGCATCTTGCAAAAGATAAGCTTTATTTACTAACAGACTTCCCAGGTGAGTGTTTGAGTTTTTATGCAGACAAAAATCTAGCAGTGCCTTGCTTTTTACAGAGGAAGGTACATTAGCTTTCGGGTTCATAAACTTTAAGTCCATCAATAGGTTTGCTAAAATAATTGTCCTTGGAGCTCTGGGAGTCATTTTAGGGCAGAGAAAATTCTCTGCTTTGAATTTCTCTAGGGCGCCTCGTTAGAAGAGGTCAAAATGTCGGACATGTGTTGGTTCAGATGTCTATTCGACGGACCTGGAGCAGAAGGTTATTAGCAAGCTAGAGTTGGGCTAATAGAGGCTCAGAGAGGCTAGACCACCTGACTGGAGATATATAGTAGTGGAATGGAGATCAGACCCAGGTCTACCACCTCATCATCAAGGGCCTTCTTAATAAGATAGAATTAATGTCATAGAGTATTCCAGCCAATGTTCTCTTAGCCAATTTATACCATTCTGTTTATCTTTTATTGAGCTTCTGTCTGGAGCTCAGCAGCTGGTCTTTTCCTTGACTCAGTTTTATTTTATTTTATTCTCTTTGTTTAGAACCGCAGTAACAGGTGAGAGTAGAAGTAGGATAATTGTAATGGGCACAGGTGTCTGCATCTCCTTCCCAAGCCCTTGTGACTGCCTTGACATAAGCCCTTTAGAGCTGGCCGCATTGACTGCTCACTCAGGTGACCCTCTGAGGCTGCAGGGCTCTGAAGTGTTTTCTACCTCTCATCTGCATGCAGATGGCTTAATGACTGATATATTAAAAACCAAGAAAGTGCTGGGTCTTAGATCTAGCAAGTGTTAGACACTTGACACAAAGAGAAGGATCATCTTGATCAACATGAACTAATTAATTAATTAGTTTACTTGCCAGACAGTGCATGAGAAACTCCTACATACCAGGTGTTTTCCTGGGCTCTAGGATTTCAAAGATGAGCAAGGTATGGGCTCTACTATGAAGGAAATTGATCACAAGCTGAGAAGGTGAAAAATAAAATCAATGACCCTAATATACTCTGAAAGTGCTATGATGGGCATATGCCTGGAAGGACATGGAAACATAAACAGGAGGCCTTCTCCCACCTGGTGGGGATAAGTTGGTGAATGACATTTTTCATGCATCCTTGGGAATATTTCATATAAAATTTGTGGCAGGTGTGGGGTAAAAGACAAGGAGATATAAAAAAGTATCTCTGTAGACAGGGCCTTGGACTCATTACTTACAGGGTTCCCTGTAGGGCTGAGGAATATGGCAGGCCAACCCCACTGGACAAGAAGGTAAATCCTCCAGTTCAGTGTGAAGAGCTCATCCCCTTAGAGAGGATTGCTGGACAGGGCAAGCCTTCCAGACTGCAGAAAGGGATCTGATCCTCATGTCACCTACCATTGCCATCCCAAGGGCCCTTGGTCAGCATAGAGGTTCTGAGTGAATCCTCAGTGCAAGTTCCCCTGAATCCACTGACAGGCCCATCTAGCCAGGTTGCAGTGGGACCATGGGCTCTCCTGGTCTAGATTGATCTGTATTGGCTTAGGTCACTTCTGTAAACATGTTCTGGGTGCTGACAATATATTTCACCATGCAAAACTTGCTTCTTCCACTTTACTCTTTTACTGTCTTTGGCTGGCCAATTCATCCTCGTTTATTCAGGGTTGTCCCAGTATTAAACCTGAAAGTCTTATGTCCCGGGAACCCCCTCAGTGCAAGGCAATCTGGGATGGTTGGGCATTCTACATCCCTCTGTTCCTCCACACTTCTTTATATACATTTGCTTCCCTTTCTTTTCTTCTTGCCTGCAAGCTCAGGCTTTGCAGTTATTATAAGGGCAATGTTTCACCCCTGCAGCAGGTCTGTTTTGCAGTGCCTGCCCACATCATATTCCCTTCTGGGGAATTCTGGGGAATATCCCTCTGTTACGCCAAAGATCCCTTCTCTGTAGTGGATACCTCCTCCTTCTAGCTGAAGATTTGACTAGGATTGGATTCTGTTTGGCAAATCATGACAAGGGTTGAGCTGGATCTTAATCTGCACTCTTTCTCATTCTTTCCTTCTCTCTCTCTCTCTCTTTTCCTCTCTTTATCTGCATTTATGTGGCTCCACAGCCAGGGAATCATTGGATTGCTTTGCCTCCACTCTGTGGAAATGTCCCAACTGGACAAAGAGTGACAGGCTGGCTCAGAGGCACCCAGTTGTCTTTGTCTGCGTCCATGCCCAACTGATCTGCTGAGTAGCAGGGATGATCTCTCTAGCAAAACCTACTACTGCTTGTGCCACAGCAAATGAATTGACTTCCTAGGGCTGTCATAACAAAGTACCACCAACTGGGCTGCTTAAAACAACAGAAATGTATTTTCTCACAGTTCTGGAAGCTTTAAGTCCAAAATTGGGTGTCAGTATGGCCCTGCTTCCTCTGAGACTCTGGACAGACATTTCCCTTGTCTCTTCCTGGCTTCTGGTGGTGGCCAGTGATCTTTGGTGTTACAGCAGCAGCATGTCAATCTCTACCTCTGTCACCACATGGCATTCTCCCTATGGGTCTCTGAGACTCTTCTGTCTTTGAAGGATATCTGTCATAATGAATTAAGGGCCCATCTTACTCTGGGATGACCTCATTTTAACTAATTACATCCACAATGACCCTAGTTTCAAATAATGTCATATTCTGAGGTGCTATGAGTCAGAGCTTCAACATATCTTATTAGGGGGCATAATTCAGCCTATAATAGTCAGCAAGTGGAAAAGGATGGATAGGGGCCACTTTCTTTAAAAGGTGGCTGTGTATGCAGCAGTTGCTAAGGCTTCATATAGCCTTCCTTCGGATCACTTAATTGGCCTTTGAGGAAGCTTTCATTCTGTTCTTGTCTTCCTGTTTGTTTGTCTTCTTTCATCTGGTCCTGTCCTTTTCCCTTTTTCCATTCCCCAAATCTTTTCAAGCCACTGCTCCTAGGTCCCACTACACCTTCCTCTAGGGAAGCTCTTTGCTTCCATAGCTCCAGGACTTACTGCACACTTCATCTCAGCTTGAACCACTTCCTCTGAGTCATTTTCACTCTCAACCCTGGGAATCTACAGAAGGGCTGGGGATGGTGGTGACAGGGACAAGCAGACTCCACATAAAGTATTGCCAAATAATGAAGATTTATCCTATCTAGAAATCTGTGTATTCACTTGATCAGTTATTCATATTGTGGATTTCCTGTGTAATATCATTTAGGAAAGGGATTCTGCTCTTTAAAAGATATAGAAATTATAGCTATAAGACACACAGTGAGAGGAGGCCTGTGACCATAGAGCTGAAAGTCTGATTTGCGTGACAACCTGGAGACTTATTGCAGAACTGGATAAGCATTAAGTATTAGCACTGGCTTGAGGTCTCAGAAGTCACCCCCTTCAGTTGTTTTCACACTTTGAAAGTGTAGGGAAGAAAGACTTTTCCTTTATCCTTTAGGTTCAATAGCTAGGTCTATGAAGTAAACTGACAACAGGCATATTAACAGAAGAATAGGCATACAAATGTATTAATGTTTAATGTTAGATGCACAGGGGCATCCTGGGGGGAAAAGCAAATACCCCCAAAAGTGGTGATATTTAAAAAGCTGTATATCCATCTTAATAGGGGAGGGGGAGAGGGATGTAGGCCACCTGAGGGAAAGTAAGTGATTTTTATAAAAGATGAATGGGCTTTTAAAAGAATAAATAGGATATGATATTTTGTGACAAAGTTTGTCTGGGTTTAGTGTCAACTTCTACAGATGCTCTTTGACTTAAGATGGGGTTACATCCTGATAAATGTATCATAAGTTGAAAATGCGTTCAGTTTGCCTAACCTACTGAAGCTACTGAACATCATAGCTTAGCCTAGCCTGCATTACATGCGCTCAGCTTACATTAGCCTACAGTTGGGTCAAATCATCTAATACAAAGCCTGTTTTATAATAAAGTGTTGAGTATCTCATGTAATTTGCTAAATACCATACTGAAAGTGAAAGCACAGAATGGTTGTATGGGTACTCAAAATACTACTGAATGCCTATATCACCTTTGCATCACCCTAAAGTCGAGAAATCATAAATCAAACCATCCTAAGTCAAGGATCGTCTATAGCCTCCTCTCCTGTGATAAGAGCCAACCTTCCCTGGTTGATGAAACTCCCAGCAAAGGGATTTATGCCAATTGAATTCTTTTTGAAGGATCTGTCTTCAGGCAGATAAGGAGACTTCAGTGAAAGCCTCTCCCTGCATCTGCTATTTTTCAAGTGTTTTTAGCTCAAAATAATCAAAATACTAAAGCGACATAATTTGGGGTGGCTTGTCCTGCACCCCTCCAACATCATATTTTGGGGTGGCATATTCTGATCTCTGACATAAAGATGTGCAATCTCACGCCACATTCCCCTCCACCCCCTTAAAGCTAAGCAGTTACCCCACATGGAAAATGAATACAACTTGGCAGATGTTCTAATGGCCAGGCCCAGAGTCCTGCCTCTTTCCATTTTTTTTTTTTAGCCATTGCTGAAGTTCTTGAAGGAACTCTACATTTGAAAATCTCCAAGTGCTGGTCCAACCTGTAAGTTTTAGATGAACATAAGGCCCAGAGGGGAGCAGAGATTTGCCCAAGGCCTCATAGTGATTGTTGGCAGAGCCCCAAGTGGCAGAGAGCTTTCCCATGATGAGCGCAGAGCTTGGGCCTCCAGCCAAGAGCAGAACAGGCCTCCTCTTGCTTTGACATCCATCATTCCTATCCCTTGGCCAGCAATTTTATCCTCTTGCTGTTCCACCCACTCCGCCCTTACTCATCCTTCCATGTTAAGCCCAAGCATTGCCTCCTTTGTGGAGTCTTATTAAACTGCTTATGCCAACTTAACTCCTTCCTTGTTCCCACAGCCCCTTTTGTCATCTATGTCAGAGCAGTTCTCATGTTCTACTGTGTGGACTTGTCTCTGGGCCAGTCGCTGCCACTTCTTATTACTGTATAACTTACTTCATTCCAAAAAGATTTCAGACAGATGTTTTTCTTGTCATTCTGAGGGTTCAACAGTGTAACTCCTGCACCTAGCAGGGTGTCAGCACATAGTAGGTGCTTATTTTTAGAACAAAAGATTGTGTGCAGTTTGGTAGAAGAAGCTGGGTAGAAATCAGCTTATATTCAAAGCCAATGTGCCCCAAATTTTAATGCACATTAAAGCATCTGGGAATTGTGTTAAAATTTGGATTCTGATTCAGGAGGTGTAGGTTAGGGCCTGTGATTCTGCATTAAACAAGTATCCAGTGGCTAGAGATGCTGTTGGTACTCAGGCCACATTTTTGAGAAACATAAGAGAGAAGATTACAGTGTGCCCTGTTAGCCATACTGATAAGAGACAGGAGAGCAGGGATAGGGTGGGGATCATTTTAAAGGGTTCAGGTCACATTCAGAAGGCATGCAGACAGCTGGGATTCAGAATGAGCCACAGAGATATGCCCCCAGCTGGTGATTTTTGTCTGCCTGAAATGGACTTTCAGCTTTGTTTACTTTGGTAAACAAATTCTCTCACCATTCAGCACATTGAGGCCTTCAGAAGGGAAGATAGACTGAGAATCTCTTGGCAATAATTCAATTCTTATGGGGAGAGGTGTGATGTTCCATCATAAAGATGATAAAATTCAGACTCTCTCTCACACACAAGGCTTGTACAGGGTTATTCAAACCACAGGGAACAGATGAAAAGAAAATGGCAATTAGATTTTCATCAAATCTATGTAACACCTTCCCTATCCTAACCTCCTTAGAACCTCACTGCAATCGCTTGCTTTAATTATCTTCCAGGAAGATTGGGACCTTGTCTGGGTTGTTTGCTAACAACCCTTAGCACCTAGCATGGTGTCTTGCATCTAGAAGGAACTCTAGGGATATTTCTTAAATAAATAAATACAGAATTTGACCATTTCATGGTTTCCATTTGTATACTCCATCAAAATTTTGTGGTTGTGTTCAGCCTATTACAATATGTCACTAATGAGGTCAAGACTGTAGGTATGGGTAACCTGAATGAGTGGCACAGCTCTGCCCTGTCCCCCACCCATACTTGTCAACATGCTCCACAGCCTTCAAGAAAATAGGACCTATCAGAGATTTAGAAGATTGGGTGAGAATACGGCTATGTGTGCTGGGAATGGCACTTGGCATTGGCAACTTCATCCATGAAGATGATGACTCGTGTTGTAGGCGTCTTGCTGTATCAGCTCTTATCAGTGGTGCTCTAGGTCGATTTCATTCTCTACTATCTTTCAACTGTAACCCATCTGTAGAACACAAAGTCTTACCCACAGGAGGAGTTAAGGAGGGGAAGCAGGGCCTGTTTCCAATTCAAAGGAGAGAACTGGACTCTCTTTTTCTATTTGTTCTGCACTTATAGTTCCTTTGGTTGCTTTCTTGTGCCTGATATGTGTTCCTCAGAAGACATTCAAAATTACTTCATAGAAAGGTCTTATTTCACATAAGAGCCAATCAAACTGCAAAGGAGGCTTCCTGTGTGCCCAGGAAGAGGAAATGGAATGATAAGCATCTAGCTAGGCTCTGTCAAAATCAGCAATTTTTTTCTCAGCCCCACACTATTTCTAGATTATTTCATCCATTCATTAAATAAGAGCTAACTTATTGGGCATTAATATGTGTGAGGTACTGTGCTAATCAGCCACATACGTTAATTTATCAATCCCTTATGAAACTCTTATAAGGTAGGCAGTGTTTTTATCTCCATTTCACACAGATAAGGAAAATGAGACAATGGGAGATGAATTGAATGAATTGAATGGCCCCAGGTTGCACAGTTAGAAATTGGCAGAGTCAGGCCAGAATTCAGGTCTATTTGATTCCTAAAGCACTGTACAACACTGTGTTAATTGACTTCTGGCTTCCACCTGATAGGACCAATTCTTTTGCAACCTTCTCCTTGGAAGTTACTCACTTTCTTTGTTTCTCTTTCCACCTACCCTTCCTTCAGCTCCAGCCTGGAGATCAGGTTGAAATTCTCTACACATTCATTCCTTCTTTCAACCATTATTGTTCAACATTGCTCCTTCGCCAGGCTATGACACCCACAGCTTGTTGTCACCTACTGATCTGCTGGCCATGGCCATCTCTTCATTGAAGTATTCAGCTTCTGGCTTATGGTCTTCCTCTGCAAACCATTTCTTATCATTGCCTGGGCAACCTCAATGTCCATGTGGATGATATGCTTAATTCCACAGCCTCAGAGTCTCTGCTTGTCACACAGAAGTTCATTCCAGACCCTCTCAGTGGAGACATCTGGATCCTGCTATCACCAGGGACTGTTTTATCTCTCCATTCTACCTCCTCATCAGTCTCATCATGGTCCTTGTAGAACACTGACCTTCTCCACCTTTCTAGGCCATTGCTCCCTCCTGGCCTCATTCCTCTTCCTATATAACCTATAATCCATAGACAACCATTTCACAAGGCACCAAAGGAGTCAAGTTGGATAGTGTCACAGGGTAGAAAGGAATCAGGAAATGGAATTTAGATGCTGGGAAGAGGAAGTCTTCTCATCATATCACTGAGGAGCAGTTCTGCTCTGGGACCAGAAGGGAGGTGTGGGAGTTGTTAGGCTCCTACTTGAAGTAATCCTTCTCTGTCTAGGTAAAGTTGTGCCAGGAAGGGTATCTGGGAATCCTAGCCCTGGATCTGGTCCAGGTGGTCAAGTTGTTCTCAAGGTATGATCTTGTAGACCACCTTATTAGAATGATCTGGGGGGTCATTGCTAAAGGGTAGATTTTCATTTCCCATCCCAAGCCTCTTGAGTCAGAGTCTTTGGGGTTGGGCCTAGGAATCTGAATTTTAAGCAAAATTCGTTGTGATTATTATCTACTTTAGGGTTTGAGGATCATTGATTTAGTCTGGCTAGACTGATAGCCCTCAGGAGGAGCTAAAAATCTCTGTCACATCCCACTAATACCCCTGAGATTCACTCCAAGTTGGACAGAATTCAGACTTGCCAATCAGTTGTGATTTTTCTTTGAAGCCCCTTACAACTAGTTCCACTCCTTTCCCTGAAGCGCCTAGAGTGGGACAAGCATTCTTGGCTCAGGAACAAACAGAAATTCCACCCCAAATCCCCATCTTCTTACCTTTTGCCTCCTCCCCACATTGAGAAAAACTTTCAGTACCTCTCTCTCTGTGCTGGGAAGGGGCTGGGGGAAGGGCATCAGTGTGATCAGGAAAGAGATTAATCTACCAGGGTAGGCGTTGAGAGATAAAAATGCAGTCTTTTATAACTTTTTAAAACCTGCCTCAGGGAGAGGACAGTGAACCAGGACTCCATGTACTGGTAGGAGCTTGATAGTTCCTTATCCATGTTGAGATAAATCAGATCAATTAAGTTCTCCTCAGAACACAGCATTTCTTTTTCTGCATGGTGCTTTCCAAACAGCGACTCTGCCTCCAGGGTCCCCACAGCCTCCTCCCAGTGCTGTAAAGCGGGTGCATTGCTCCCTGTTTCTGGGACAGATGGTTTCTATCGTTTGAAATACCACAGGGTTTGAATTCATAAGACTTGATTCAAATCCAAGTTTTACTCTCTACCTGCTACGTGGCCTTTCATAAGTCACCAAACCCTTTTCTCTATTTCGTGACCTCCAGAAAGGAAAGGATCCTAGTCCTCCTTACCTTCTCACAGGGCTTTTGAGGACAAATAATTCTCGTTTCGAAAAGGGTGGAGCTGTGAACTGTTAGGAGCAGGAGTCAACCTGAGCAATACCTGGAAGCCTCCTCCACCAGGAGCTCCACCTGCAGCTGGGCTTCCAGCAATCCACAAATATTGGTGAGCACTAGAATGGTGCCATGCTTGCAAATTCACATTCCCTGGCCCTACTGGGCAATCAGCAGTGCTCCATGTAGTTCTAAAGCAGATGGCCCAGTGGTCCAGGTATCATATCTAAGCAACCCTTTGAGGAGATGAAGAGGGTTGGATGCTCCATGAGACAGAAGGAGAACTTTGCTTTCCGTGGCCCACCAGGGACTTGAGCTGCAGACCGAACTTACAGCTGCCAGTTTCCATCAAGAGATGGGAAGCTACTTAGTCAACTTACTGCTGGTTTTCAAACACACTAAAGTTTGGGTGGTCAGGCAGGCTTTTAGGGCTACTGGATTTTGAAGGACTCCTGGTTCAATTCGTGATCTAAGTTTCTCTTCCTCTGTCCTCCCCTCATCAATACATGGCAACCTGGGTCTCCTTACCTCAGGTTCATGAACTGGGAATAACCTGTCAGGCCAACTGCTTCTGTGTGTCAGGGCTGACTCAGGTTCAGTGGGTTCCCATTTCTTCATGTGCTTATTTTTAAAGGACCATTGTTTTCTTTGCCTGAAGGAAAGCTTACTGGTAAGTATTTCAGGAGCCAGGGAAGGGGCTTAGATAACACTGTAGAGCTGGCTCACTTGGCCAGTTGAGAGAATTTATCAGAAACTATTAACCAGGAAAACAGTGACATCTTATCACTCTCACCCAAGCCGTATGGGCCAGTGGCTCTTTTTAAATCATAAAGATGACGTCAGTTTCCCACTTAAAACCTTCCAATGATTTCTCATTCCACTTGGAATAAAATCTCAACTCCTTACTCTGGCCCTTGTCTACTGCTGGGGACTGACCTGACACTCCTCCGTCTCCTCACGCTGCCCCTCTGCCTGTTTCCTAGATAGAAGCCAGCCGCCATCACTTCTACCTTGGGCTCTTTGCAGGGGCCGTTCCTTCTGCTTACATTCTCCTTTACTCCCCTTTTGTCTGAACTGGCTTTTTCTTGCCATTAGATGTCTCTTTAAATGGCACTTCCTCATAGTGGCCTTCCCTGACTATTCAATCTAATGTTGCCCCTCTCTATCACATGACCCAATTTTCATTTTCTGCAGAGTACTCATCACTCTCACACATTTCTCATTTATTTCTTTATTTCTGTCTCTTTTCCTTAGAACAGAAGACAAAGATCTCATGTTCACCTCTATAATCCCTTCTTCTAGCACTGTGCCTGACACATAACAGCCTCTCAGAAAATACTTGTTGACTCTGAATAAATTGCCTCTGGAGACAGAGACTAATTGCAGGCCTAAGCCTTAGTAGCTGGGTGATCTGAGCCTCAGTTTCTTCTTTGTTAGATGGAGCTAATAACACTGGGCTTGCAGGGGTGTATTTAATAGAAAAGAATATGTAACAGTGTCTTGAACATGGGAGTTACTCACTAAATAAGTACATACATACATTTTTCTTTTTTTTTTTTTTCTCTCCTCTGGCCCTGGCTCTGCCACTTGTGAGCCCTGAGGCCTTGGAGAGTCATTTTTGTTCTGTAGGCTTTATGAGAGGAAGGGACTGTCTGATCATCACAGACAGTGCAGGCTGAGTTTGTTTTTTACAAGGTGGAAGGAAACCAGGCCTCTTTTTCTCCAGCTGCATGACCAAAAGGGCTTCCCTAAGCTAGATCAGATATGTTCTGCCCCTGCCTCAATGGATATGTTGGGGAACTTCGGAAAGGAAGCTAGTGAAAGGGATCACCCTTTGAATACTAAGCAGGATCTTAATTTCTCCTTGAATTGGCAAGCTTTATATTATGGGCCTGCTGTTGGCAGATAGTAGGGAAACCTTGATGGCGGCTGAGTTAAATATGGCCGGAATTTACAATGGAATAAAAGGTGCCAGATTAATAGGGTTTCTTTTCTCTGAACTGTAAATTGGAAGACCTGGTGCCTGATCGGCTACTAAATCTTTAGTCCCATGGGCTTCTAGATAGACAGCTTTGGGAGCACCAGACTGGCAGCCGAAGGTTGATGCAAATAATGATCTCACCATGGGATTTGCTCTGCAAGGGGCGCTGGGTTGAAGGGCAAAGGGACCCACCATATGTGCATTGTGACAACAACATCTGAGCTAGCCTCTGAACACTGCTAAGGGGACAGGTCAGCCTTTCCCCACATCATCTCAGGATATGGCCTGGGCAGAGGGCAGCAGATGACAGGCAGGTATATTTAAGCATCCTCTGGCAGCCCTTCCTCCCCTCTCTCCTCTCCCTCCACTTCCTAGATGCATGCTGCTGAGAGACGGAAAATGGCCCCGGGCCTGTGACTGCTTAGGGCCACTCCTGCAAACCCCTAGGGACATTTTCTTTGGTAAAATACCCTCCAGCATTTTAAGGAGCAGGGTCTTGGCACATTGCAAAGATTGAGTTATCACTGGCTTGAAGTCGGGTAGGATGGGGCAGAGAACAGGATGGAGGCTGGTCTGATTGTTTCTCAAAGCTCTCTCTAGCACTGCTTCCTAAGAATTCTGGAAACTAGATTGAGGGCAGGGGAACCATTTCATTTAATTGTCACAGTAAACTTGGAGGTAGGTAGGACTGGGATTGATTTCATTTTAGGAATGAAGAAACCAAGGTTTAACAAGATTGGGTGACTTGCTCACAGTTGGACAGCAACAGCTGAAAAGAAAACAAATTTTCTAGACAACTCAGGCCCCGATGCTTTCTCCCTGGAAGACTTCGATCTCAAGTAGCCACTGTCTATAGAGAGGAGTAAGGGAGTGCTGGGGAGGATGTGAACATGGTGATGACGGTATTTTTTCCTGCTGCTTCCAGCCTTTTTTATGGGCAGGAGACATGCCTGTGGACCATGAGGGTTGGCATGACAGGAGCAGCATAATCTCAGAGCAGCTCCTTAGGAGGGGTTGCTAACCCTTTCAGTGCCCTTATGGGACTTAGAAAAGAAGCTTGTTTGGAATAAATGTAGTCCCGTGGCAGGCCTGGATTTTAGCCTCAACTTACCCTTTTTAGCTAGTACTCTTGCAGAGAATAATGTGCACATCCGGCTGCTCTCCTGATGAGAATTCAAATCTCAGCTTCAAAAGAAGAATCTCCATTGCAAAGGTTTTTCATGTACCTCTCTAGTCTTCCCTCTGTTACCTTAAGCTAAGAACACTCAGACAGCTTACCAGCTGCCTATCTGGGGCTTCCAGTAGAACTCCACCAGGCCATTTAATCTAGGAAACCAGAACAAAATGGCAGAGGTTGGGGGAAATGCTCTGAAGTTGACAGTCAAGTAAGGGCCACCCAGGTGCCACCTCTGCTGGTGTCTTCTACCATTTTTTCTGGTGGCTTCTACTGTCTCCCTGACCAGTCTTGGAGTGCTCCCAGCCCTTCTCTGAGCCAGCATCATTAAACCACTTTGGCTGGAGCCTTCACAGACATGCAGCCGAATATTTATGTCCAATCTATTTTTTTTTAATGTCAACAATTCAACTTACTTTTTGCCTTTTTCTTTGCTGCATTAGGAGAAGTCAATTTCTCTTATAGACAGGGAGGTGACCTTCCTTAGAATGAAATACAGACATTTTCCCTGCTAGCCATTGTAATTTTGAAGACCAAGCCATCCTTCCCCTAAAGCAAACCTCCTTATTGTGTGTGTGTGTGTGTTTGTGTGTTTGCCTGTGTATACACACTAATTATTTAGGATAGCATTAAAATTACACTTAAAAGTTTAATGAAAGAAAATAATAAAACAAAAATTTGGAGTGGGAGGGTAATGTGGATATGTTCTGGAATTGAAGAAAGACTGGAAAAGAAGGAAAAAGGAGGGTTATCTGAAATCAGGATTTCTGCTAAGCCTGAGTAGTTGGAGTGGAACAGCCACCAGGAGTGCCAGCCAGTTGGGCAGAGAGGACCACTGGAGGGGTACCATTTGGGTTTCTAGGAAGTGGGCTGGATCAGGGCAATTGCCAGGGGACAATGTGCCTGACATTCCCCACTCATACAAGGAGGAGTACCACATCATCTGCCCCTAAGGTCCTCATCAGCCAAAAGTCCAGTGGCTTGCCCAGGTTGTAACTCTTTTCTTTACCACTGTCTGGATCTCCTGTGAGGATGTCTGTCTGCAGAGGTCCCAGGTCAGCTACAATGGTGAAAAGGAATCCTGATCCCACAGCAAGAATAGGGGAAGAGCTGCTACACCAGTTTGACAGGGTTAAGCTGAGCAAATGCAGGTCCAGGGAATTAAACATGGGAGCCTTGATTTCTCAAATAGATGACCTCCTCAAAATTGATAGAATTATTTGTTGGTGAGGTCAAATCCAATTGTAAAGGCATAAAGGGAGCTTATAGTTTTGAAGAACTCAACTGCAGATTATTTTATGAAATAACTCTTTGGTCATAAGCTGAGTTGGCCCTCATTATTTAAGTAAAACACTGTACAAATCCAAACCTTTTGAAAAGTGGATTTTCCTCAACCTAACTGGAAATCCAGACACTTGTAATCTCCTCCCATAGAGGAGAAGCAATAGGCCCCCTTGGACCTGGAGGAGAGAAGTATGTCCCAGGGATCTTCTCATCTTTTTTCCTCTACCCACATTCAAGCTGGAATGCTTTTGTGAGGTTTGCTAGGGCCAGACTTCTCAGAAGTAAGACTCACTGGTTGCTGTAGTTAGAAAGAATGTCAGAAGTCATCTGATCTACCCTGTCATCTGTAGTAGTAGCAACCTGCTCTTGAGGAATGGCCACTTTAGGAAAAGGACCACTGGGCCTCATTTGACTTTCGTTCCCCAGCACCTAGAACATCATTTGACAAGTGATGGGTGCTCAATTAATGCTGACTGAATGACTGACTGACTGATTGACTAAGTGAATGAATATTTCTTGGCAACTACTCGAACACCTTTGGGGACAGGCAGCTTAACTATCTTAGAGAGCAATATATTCTTCCTAGAGATCTCTCTGATTATTAGGAACTTGTTTAAATTGAATCAAAGGCTGACTTCCTGGCAGATTTTCTCTGTGTATTGGTTTTGTTCTCTGAAGGCAGCAAAGAAGTCAATCTCTTCATTCTGTCACCATAGCTTTGCTGTCCTATTCCACCTGGTACTCTTTCTTCAGCAACCAGTCACCTTGTGCTTTTCTCATATCCATTGAGTGTTAAACTCATGGATGCCTTTCCACAGCAGTGCTCTGTGATTTAGGTCTCTCATTTCCTTTTGGCTCTGATGAATGAACATGTCTTAGGCTCCATTCTTTCTCAGCCAGCTGCAATTACAGAAAACTAGCTAAAAGGAGAAGCTATCACTAGTGGTGATAGGATCGGTGATGTTTATTTTCTTCCTTACATTTTCTTGTTATAACAGAATATGTTTGCAAAGAGAATGCATTATTTTAATAAGGAGGAAAATTATAAAGCTATTTCAATTGTGGAAAAAACCATACTGACAATCTGGTTTATTACAGAGTGTTGATAAACACTCTATTATTGGCCTAGGGAAACTTTATCAAATATCTGCTAAGTACCAGGCACTGAAATGGATAATACAGACATGAGCAAAAATAACCCTTTCCTTCAGTTGGCTCTCAGTATACTTGCTCACTTATGCCCTATGTAAAGAAAATGCCCAGGTTGCTATGGGAGCATGGAGGAGGGGCACTGAAGGTCAACTAAGAGAGAAGCAAAGAACTTATATAAATAGGTGTTCAACAGGTAACAAGGAAGAGAGAACTAAACGTGAAGACTCACTTGTATGTGGTATGTGAAAGACGGCAGCCCTTTCGAGGAACATGCCCAGGTTTGATGGGTCTTGAGGTAGGGTGTGAAGCAGAGAGGAGCAGGAGCTAAGAGGAAAGAGGGGATGAGAGCAGGGAAGGCTTGCTGCTAGAAGTTTAGACTTCATTCTGTATGCATGCACACGGGGATGGGAGGGCAGGGTGTAGGCATTTAAACCAGGAGAACTAATAACTTTGTCTAGACCTTTAGTTTTTTTTTTGTTTTTCTTTTTGAGACAGAGTCTTGCTCTATCACCCAGACTGGAGTGTAGTGGCACGGTCTCACCTCACTGCAACCTCCGCTTCCCAGGTTCAAGCGATTCTCCTATCTCAGCCTCCCGAGTAGCTGGGATTGCAGGCATGCACCATCATGCCCAGCTAATTTTTGTATTTTTAGTAGAGACAGGGTTTCACATGTTGGCCAAGCTGGTCTGGAACTCCTGACCTCAGGTGACCCACCCACCTCAGCCTCCCAAAGTGCTGGGATCACAGGAATGAGCCACTGCACCCAGCCCAGACCTTTAATTGTTTAATGGTAAAATGTCTGATAACACGGTGGTTAATAGGAAAGATTTTCTGGGTTGGGGATGGATAAGACGGATATTCTTTCATCCTTCAAATAGTGCTGTGCAGGTAACTACTAAGCCCTGTTCATTCTCCTGCTGTGCCATAGGAAATAGGTAAAATAATTGAAATAATTACCAGGGCTTAAGAACGTGTATTCTAGAACCAGTTTTTTTAAATTTAAATCTCTGCTTCACTACCTATTAACTGTGTGATCTTGGCTTCTCTGTGTCTCAGTTTCCTCATTGGTAAATATGCCTACCTCAATGAGTTGTTGGGAAGAATAAATGAATTAGCATATGGATAGCTCTTTGAGCCATGCTTGGCTGTTAAAAAGTTAATATGGGGTTGTTATTACTGTTAGCAGCAGTGAATTTGTACAGGTCTGCAACAACCTCAATTCTTGCATCTTCAGAAGAAAGAATTCAACCAAGAGGCATGAGGCAGAGGGAGAGACCAAGGCAAGTTTTAGAGCAGGAGTGAAAGTTTGTTAAGAAGTTTTAGAGCAGGAGTGAAAGGAAGTAAAGTACACTCAGAAGAGGGCCAAGTGGACAACTTGAGAGATCAACTGTGTGGTTTGAGTTTTGACTTGGGGTTTTATATGTTGGCATGCTTCCCGGGGGATTGCATCTCTTCTCCCCTGATTCTTCCCTTGGGGTAGGCTGTCTGCATGCACAATGGCCTGCCAGCACTCAGGAGGGGCTGCATGGGTAGTATGTTTACTGAAGATGTGTGCATGCTCACTTGAGTGTTTTTCCCTTGCCAGTCAAGTGTTCCTAGAAAAATGTCATATACCAGTTAAACTCCACCATTTTGCCTCTTACTGTACATGCTTGAGCCCACTCACCCAACTCTTGAGATCTTATCAGGCAGCTGCTGATCACTAGTGTCAGGTGTTTTCTATTTATTGGGAGACTGCCTTTCCCTTGTGCTGGCTGTGGCCAATTATTTTAGAGACAGTTGACAACAACCTGACCATCACCTGATGGTCGGCTGACCTTCCTGGTGGCAGGGAGCACCCTCTCCTGCCCTGCTCATGTCTGCCTAACTACCTACTGTAACATTACAAGTCATGTCTTATCTTCTCATCATTATTCTATCTATGAGGGGAGAAGAAGAGCCTAATGGGATTTGGAGTTAGAAGCAGCATGCCACCATTACTAATTGATTGTGTGACTTGGGCAATTTAACTTCCAAGAGACCCAGTTTTCCTGCTGAAAATGCAGATGATAAAAATTCCTACTTCACAGGGTCTTGTAGAGATCAAATGAGATAATGGATGCAAAAACACTTTATAAATTGTAAATTGATGAATACTAGCCACTATGTTAATATTCCCTCACTGGTTCTCTCATAAACAGGGCAGGAATGGATCTCCCTATTGCACAGAGAAACTGAGGGCCAAAGGGGTTCAGTAATTTACTGCAATTCTCCTATGAGTTTGGGTTGGGTCTGGCCTAGGACGCTGCCTCTGCTCTCAGCAATTTCTCCACATTATCTGGGCCAAGTATGCTCTGTCTGCTATATCCAGACCCAGAATCCATACAAATAAAAGCAAAATCCTGGGCTGGCCTCCTCTTGCCACTTTACTGGATTCTAATTACCTCTTATTTCAGCAATATAAATAATTAAACCAGGAACTTGATTTTAATAGGCCTTAGGTCAGGCTTAGCATTCTGCATCCTTGGTCAATTTCCCCAGCATTTCTTAGCTAATCTGGGGGAGAGGAAACTGTCCTGGAGTGGTTCATTTGCATCAAAGCCACTATAATTTGTAAGTAAATGGCATTGCTTTTAAATGCAAAGGAGCATACTTGAGTTGACAGAGCAGACAGTCTTTGATTCTTCAAATACTGCAATCCCTAATGTTCTGGAAATAATCTTTCCATCTTTCCAATTACACTCCTCCCAGGAGAAGTCCCCTTAACCCTTCTTCAAAATATAGCCATTAAAGTTTTTTCTAATCAAGGACAACTCTCCTTGCCTGTAGGGGGACTTATTTGAGGAAAAATTCTCAACTCAGGCAGACACACGGAGATGGTACCAAGTGCAAACCATTGAGCAACAAAGATATGTAAGATACTGTCCCAGCCATCAGGAAGTTTAAAATCTCCAAAGGGAGATAATGGTGCAACACATGTAAGAGAAAGCAGAATGTGGTATTTTAAGGTGTTGCAAAGTTTTTCATGACTTAGGGTCTGAAACTGCTTAGGGGATTAGGATAGACAAGGACAGAAGACGGTTACTTGGTGGGACCTCAAAGGCTGATATGATGTCTCCACCAAGACAACTCCCCACTGTCTCCCACCTTTTACTCACCTCAGAATGTCAGTCCAGCTGCTCTCCTCAATGCTTGGTCATCTACCATTTGAAAGTTAAAACATCATTGTCTTCAGGAGTCCACTGGAAAGGGGACTTTATAATCTAAAGTGAATTAGTGTATCCAATTTACTAGCTCCCTCTTTTCCAGCCTTTGTTCTATACCCTCCATGCTTATTTCTTCCATACTTTGGGCAGTTCTCTGAATGCTAAGGATAGATGGTTCAATAGGGGGTCAGAATTAGAAATGGATGGAATCCAGGCTCTGGCCCTGGTCAGTGATATAACCTTGGGAAGTTTCTTAAATCCTTCAACTTCACACTCCTCTTCTGTAAAATGACAGTGATATGGTCTGAAAGTTTGAGTCCCCCAATCCCATTTGTAGGTTGAAAACCTAACCCCTAAGGCAATGGTATTAGGAAGCTAGATCTTTGAGAAGTGATTAGGTCATGAGGTTGGAGACCTCATGAATGGGATTAATACCTTTATAAAAAAGGCTTGAGAGAGACCCCTTATTCCCTCTACCATGTGAGCATAGTGAGAGGGCACCATCTATAATCTATTTCCGGAAAATGGGTTCTCACCAGACACCAAATCTGCCTTGACCTTGGAGTTCTCAGCCTCCAGAACTGTGAGAAATATATTTCCACTGTTTATAAGCCACCTGTCAGGCCTCTGAGACCAAGCTAAGCCATCATAAACCCTGTGACCTGCATGTATACATCCAGATGGCCTGGAGCAACTGAAGAACCACAAAAGAAGTGAAACAGCCAGTTCCTGCCTTAACTGGTGACATTTCACCATTGTGATTTGTTCCTGTCCCACCCTAACTAATCAATTCGACCTTGTGACATTCCTCCCCTGGACAATGCGTCTCATGATCTTCCCACCCTGCACCTAGTGACCCCCGCCCCTGCCCACAAGAAAGAACCACTTTTAACTGTAATTTTCCACTGCCTACCCAAATCCTATAAAACTGCCCCACCCCTATCTCCCTTTGCAGACTCCTTTTTCAGACTCAGTCCGCCTGCACCCAGGTGATTAAAAAGCTTTATTGCTCACACAAAGCCTTTTTGGTGGTCTCTTCACACAGACACGTGTAACACCACCCAGTTGGTGGTATTTTGTTGTAGCAGCTTGAAAGACTAAGACAGAAAATTGGTATTGAGAAGTAGGGGTGCTATAGTAACAAATACCTAAAATGTCGAAGCAGGTTTGGAACTAGGTAAGTGAATAGAGCCTGGAATAGTTTTGAAGTGCATGATTTAGAAAAGCCTACAGTTGCTGTGAATTGGCTAGTGAGGGTGATTCTGGTGAGGGCTCAGGAGAGGAGGAGAGCTATAAAGAAAGCCTCAGCATTCTTACAGGATAGCTTATAGGTTATGAACAGAATGCTAATAGAAATATGGACAGTAAAGGCCATTTGGATGAGGTCTCAGATGGAAATGAGGAACATGTTATTAGAAACTGAAGGAAAGGTGACCTATTATATACACTGGCAAAGAACAACTTGGCTGAATTTTGTTCCTCTCCTAGTGTTTTGTGGAAGGTAGAATTTGTAAAGAATGAAATTGGATATTTAGCTGAAGCTATTTTTTTAATTTTTATTTTTGGGGTAGGATCTTACTCTGTTGCCCAGGCTGGAGTGCTTTGGTATGATAGCTCACTGCAGCCTCCACGCCTGGGCTCAAGTTGTCCTCCTGCCTCAGCCTTCTGAGGAGCTAGGATTACAGGTGTGTGCCACCACATGTGGCTAATTTTTTTTTGTAGAGACGAGGGTCTCACTTAGCTGAAGCTATTTTTAAGCAGTCTTGAAGGTATGGCTTAGTTTCTCTTGATTGCTTATAGTAAACGTGAGGGGGAAAAAAGGAATGATTTAAAGACTAATCAAAATGACAGCAGAACTTAAAAATCTAAAAAATTCACAGCCTATCTATATTGGAAAAAATGAGAAAGCCTGTTTGAGAAAGAAAATGAAAGATGTGGCCAAAATGGATAGAAAATTAGTATGAATCACCCGTCTAAATAGAGGCCAGGACTTATTGTCTAAGACAATAGAAGAACGACTCTAAAGGTATCTTGGAGATCATCAGGGCTGTCCCTCCCATCACAGTCCCAGAGTGCAGGCGCCTGCAGAGCAGAACAATTTTAAAGGAAAGCAGAGCACACCTCCTGCTTAGTGCTGCCTCATCATGGGCTCTGCTCTTCACACTCCATTTCTATGCTCCTCAACTGCCCCAAGTGTGGCTCCAGGGGGCCTGGTATGGTTTGTGCTGCACCCTGCAAAGGTGTAGGGGCTTGACTGCCTCCACCCAGACTCCAAAAGATGCCCCCAAAGCTGAAGGACCCAGGCAAAGAGCAGCTGTGGAGGTAGGGCTACTGCAAAGAACTAGGGCAATGCCCAGCAAATTCATTAAGGTGAATCATGACCCCAGGCTGGTAAAGACATCAGCACTTCATTCTGGCCTAGGAAAGCTGCAGGCACATTATTCCAACCCTTGAGGGGTGCAGTGTGGGTTGCATGCCGCAAAGCCATGGGAGCAGGGCTGCTCAAATCCAAAGGGGAAAGACAGCCACCCCAGTAGGTCCAGAAGGCATACCTCCACTCTAGTGGTTTTAGAGGGCAGACCAGCAACTCAACAAAGATTGTTTTAGGGCTGTAAGACTGAATGTTCTTGGCCTTGTTGGATTTTGGACTTGCTTGAGATATGTCACTTCTTTCTACTTTCCTATTTCTCCCTTGTATAATGGGAATGACTGTCCTATGCCCATTCCACAATTATATATTGTAGGTACAAAACTAGTTTGATTTCACAGGCTTATAGCTGGAGGGGGATGGGGAATTGGCTCAGAATGAATCATACCTTAAGTCTCACCCATATCTCATCTCATCTAAATATCATATTGAGATGACATTTAGATGAGACTTTGGAATTCAGACGTTGATGCTGGAATGAGTTAAGACTTTGGGGGCTATTCGGATGGAAGAAATGTATTTTGCATGCAAGAAGGAAATGAATTTGGGGGGTAAATCAGAATGTCAGAATGTTTGTAGTAAGTGTTTATAATTTTATGTTGCCTCAGCATCTATTTTAAAATACGTTTAACTTTCTTATATTAGAAGCAGGGTTCAGTCATCCTTGACACAGTTCCTAGTACTATATCCCACCCAAATGGCCCCAGCTGGTGGCCAGAGATAATACTTAGAGGCATCTTTCTTGCCTAACAGGCTGGGCTCAACATTTTCCTGCCATTTCCTTTAAACTGACCATTTAAACAATTTGCCCAAGAACTTAATGTGATCACCTCTCAGTCACAGTGTGGCCTCCTGGAACTAGAGCTCACTTGTGTTCAACTGACCCATTACAACTCCCCTTGGGCAACCTGTTTGGATAACACCCTGTACCCAATAAAAACACTGGCCCATGGGTCCCTTCTCTCTCCCTCTGCCTGCATTCCCTGGTATGTGGCCTCCAGGCATGCCATTGACACCCCCAGGGTCTGTAAGTACTAAAAAGTCTTAAACCTTCACATTGTTTTTGCGTCATTGCAGTTGCACCTGCGATCAGACTCCTGATGGTGAGGCCTGCCTTGAGAAGATTCATGCAGGTGGATCTTCTCCTGGTGTTATTGGCATCTCTGGTGACTGCTGGAAACAACAGCTAAGTTAATGTAGAAGCTCAAAGTAGCTCATTCAAAACAGCCTCTCCTCCCAAATTTATATGTTGAAATCCTAACCCCCAAGATGATAGTATTAAGAGGTGGAGCCTTGGAGATGAATAGGACAGGGGTAAGAGCCCTCATGAATGAGATTTTATTAAAGAGACCTGAGAGAGACCCCTCACTGCATCCAACATGTGAGGATACAGTAAGAAGATGCTACATATGAACCAGAAAATGGGCCTTCACAAGACACCAGATCTGCCAGTGCCTTTATCTGGACTTCCCAGCCCCCAGAACTGTGAGACATTTTTGTTGTTTGTAAGACACCTAGTCTAGGCTATTTTGTTACAGCCATCCAAACAGACTAAGATAGACAGGAGTAACAACTATCACACTGAGGAAAAGAGGAGGTGTGGTTCATATATATAAAGCAATTATATAAAAACTTTTGTATAATTTATATAAAGCAATTTGGATAAAACTTGTATTTTCTCTTATGACTATAAGTCATCAGTTGTATTGGGTGTATTAGCTCATGTAGCAGACCAGAATATACTGCTCCCAAATATGCCACCCTGGCATATGAATTATTTTGAGCTAGAGGCAATTGAGACAAAGCAGACACAGGATGAGTTTTCTGCTCTCTCCCTATCTTCCTGAAAGTGGAACATAAATTCTTCTTGTGAAGGTATTCCACCCACCCTACTTTTTGTACCAGTTAGGGGAAGACAACATTATCACCAGAGATGAGATGGCACTGAAAATAATTTACAAAAACAAACCTCGCAAAGTAACCGTTATCTATCATTGAGTGTCACCCATGTATTTACCTTCCCACAGTTTACCATCCCTAAAAAGCCCAGAAACGCCTTTCCTTTGTCTTATCACTTCTCTACAAATTGATCATTCATTGTCTGAATGGCATAAAAGCCTCCAAGCCTAACTGCTTCTTTGGAGGCTTTTCTCTTCTTTATGAAGCTCTCTTGTGCCATATAAAACTTTTAATTTTAAATAAGCATGTATGCTTTTCTCCTGTTAAATTGCCTTTGTCAGTTTATTTTGCAAGACCAGCCACTAAAAATAAGAGGGTAAGGGGATTTTTTTTCCTTCCCTACATTCATTTATTGGGTTTGTAGAAAGATTTTTTTCCAATACTCAGTACTTCGTAGATGATAAATAAGTGCCTACTGACTGGATGAATGCTCTTTTCATCTTTATACATTTGCATGTACATTTGTCCTCATTTGGAACATTGGCACCTTAATCCTTCTCTTCCCTCCAAAATAATCTGGTTAACTACTATAGTTATTTTAAAAGTAGCCCTGAACCCCACTCCCATCTTAGATAGCTTCAGTTATGGAACAGGGAAAGGATGGGGAGAAAGATGAGATGACTTAGTTTTCTAGAATATTCAAAAATAACCACTGCCTCTCCCTGGAAAAGGTTGTACCTCCCTGCTCCACTGATGGCAGTTTTTACCATGTAACTTGCTTTGCCTAACAGGGTCCTATGCCATTTCCAAGAAGGGGCTGTAAGAGCCAATGTGTGGATTGCCACTCTCTTTGTTTAGGGCACTATAATGAAAATACCTTATGAACAACTGTTATTCCTCACATTTCTGGAGGTTAGGAAGTCCGAGATCCAGGTGCTGGCAGATTTGGTGTCTGGTGAGGGCTTATTCCTCTTAGTAACTTCTTGCTGCATCTTCACACAGTAGAAGGGGTGGGGCAGCTCTCTGGGGCTCCTTTTATAAGGACACTAATCCCATTCATGAGGGAGCACTCACCAAAGTCCCCCATCTTCTAATACCATTCCACTGGGACTTGGGATTTCAACACATGAATTTGGTGGGGGACACACACATTCAGGTCATAGCAACCAGGCTACCTTTTTCCTCAGTTACCCACCACCAGCCATGCTCTTCCACTGGCCCGGATCCTGGAGAGAAAGCATGGTGCTGTAGTTTGGGTGAAGTTTGTCTCCACCAAAACTCATGTTAAAGTTTAATTGCCAGTGCTGATGCATTGGGACATCATGGGGCCCAGTGGGAGGTATTTGGGCCATGAAGTGGATCCTTCATGAAGAGATTCATACCATCTCACAGGGGTGTGTTCTTCCTCTCTCAGGAATATATTAACTCCTGAGAATGTAAGTTGTTATAAACCCAGGATGCCCTTAGCATTTGGCCCCTTCGTACCTCTCTCTTACCCCTTTGACCTTTCAGCATGTTACGTTGCAGCAGGAAAAATTCTTGCCAGAAGCCAGTGCCATTACCATGAACTTCCCAGCCTGTAGAACTGTGAGCTAGATAAGCCTCTTTTCTTTATAAATTACCCACTCTCAGGTATTCTGTTACAGAAACACAAAATGGACTAAGACACAAGGGCAGAGCCCTAGCTGACCCACAGTGCACGTGTATGAGTGAGAAACAGACCTTTAATGTTGTTAGTTCCTGAGATTTTGGGGTTGTCACTTCAGCTTATCCTGACTGGTACAACATATTTGCGGCTCTTCCTCTGAATTGCTGCTCAGCCTTCTTCTTCCACCCTGATTACATTAACTTCATGTCTTAAATTTTCCAAATCTATATCTCAAGCCACAGTCCTCACCTTGTGGATAGCCTGCTGGCCCCACAAACACAGCATGTGTAGAACCAAAGTATATATTCCTCTCCCAAAACCTGTGTCTTTTCCCACTGTTTCTTTCTAATCCACACATCCAGGTAGAGGACTCTGAGACATCACTGAGGCCATTCCCAAACCCATTCTCCCACTAGGAGATGAACTTATCACTTCTACTCCTGAAATGTCTCCATTCTGTTTCTCCTTTGAAAGTTCCTAACCACTAATCTGGCTTTCCTTTTGTCATCTCAGTGCCTGCAAGAGCTCTTCCACTGGTCTCCCTGCCTTTTGTCTCTTTCCTAAGATTGACATGCTCTGGGGTGAGAATATGAATGGAGATCCTAATGCTAAATGTCTAAATATTTAAAACTCATAAATCAAGCTAAAGAAACTTGCATTTTTGCCTTCTGATTTAAGAAATATACCTTCATAATGACCTGGAAGCTCAGATTCAAATTTAAAGTGTTTAGACTCCCCAGAGTTACATGGTGAAATGTTGTAGCATGTGAAGTACTGACTCCTGGACCCTGGCCCATTGTCCACACTCCCTTGTTTGCATTGCAACTCCATCCCATAATAGGAGAGGATGTGTAGACAGTTGTGAGAGTTTTGGGTTTGCACGTGTGAGATTCATCCACACCTCCTGTAAGCAGCCAAGCTTTGGCCACCCCTAGGCCTAGGGTGAAAATGTCAATAGCACAGTCTACTCTTAGGGTGAAGAACCAGGAAAGATAATGATTTGTGCCACGGAAGCAGGCCTGGAGTCATATGTGCAGGGAATTTCAGGATTCTGAGTGAACTGAGCTCACTCTAGAGGGAAGGACACAGGCTTGGATGATCATGTTTTCTTGGCTCATGTACTTTTGCCCTATGAATAGAAGCAGAACTGGAGATGGGCCAGAGAGGGTCCTTCTAAAGTGGAGGGTCCAGGGCAGGGGCCTCTTTTCCTGGATCTACAGCAATTACTTAATCCATAATCATGAGCAACATTTATTGAGCACATTGGGTTGCCAAGCATTGTTCCAAATTATTTGCCAATAAAGAAACTCAGGCACATCTCTTAATTTGCCCAAGTCACACAGTTCATAGAAGGCAAAGCTAAGGATTAAAGCCAGACAATTTGGGCTGAGTGAGGTGGCTCATGCTTGTAATCCCAGCACTTTGGGAGGCTGAGGTGGGTGGATTATCTGAGGTCAGGAGTTCGAGACCAGCCTGGCCAACATGGTGAAACCCTATCTCTACTAAAAATACAAAAATTACCTGGGCATGGTGGCACACACCTGTAATCCCAGCTACTTGAGAGGCTGAGGTGGGAGAATCTCTTGAACCTGGGAGGCAGAGGATGCAGTGAGCCGAGATCATGCCATTGCACTCCAGTCTGGGTGACAGAGCAAGACTGTCTCAAAAAAAAAAAAAAAAAAAAAAAGCCAGACAATTTGATCCCAGAACTACTACACATATCATGCTACACTGTCCCTAGAATCACCTTCTTTTTTTTTTTTGAGATGGAGTCTCGCTGTTGCCCAGGCTGGAGTGCAGTGGTGTGATCTCGGCTCACTGCAAGCCCCGCCTCCCGGGTTCACGCTATTCTGCTGCCTCAGCCTCACTAGTAGCTGGGACTACAGGCACCCGCCACCAAGCCCGGCTGATTTTTTGTATTTTTAGTAGAGACAGGGTTTCACCATGTTAGCCAGTATTGTCTCTGTCTCCTGATCTCGTGACCCACCCACCTCAACCTCCCAAAGTGCTGGGATTACAGGCGTGAGCCACCACACTCGGCCTAGAAACACGTTCTAAATCACAGATCTAATTGAGCCCATCTCCTATTCACCAAAATGCAGTGTTATCCAGTGAGA
Source organism: Homo sapiens (assembly GCF_000001405.40). NCBI lineage: Eukaryota > Metazoa > Chordata > Mammalia > Primates > Hominidae > Homo > Homo sapiens. The sequence goes on along the minus strand of NC_000001.11, from coordinate 209,464,525 downwards.
GTAGTATAGTGGAAAGAAAACAAGATTTGGAGCCAGAACATTTTGGTTTCAATGCAAGCTCTACCATCTGCTAGCTCTGTCTCTTAATCAAGGAACTTTGCCTTTTTATAAAATTAGGAGAATAACAATTCGTCCCCCATTGGGGACCAAGTGAGTAGTGAATGTGAAAATCTATAAAGCTCTGTTATTATTAAGATCATATTCCAGTTACTGTATACTGGATACACAATAAATTACTCTAAAACGTATTGTCATTCAAAGAATCATTTACTATGCTCCTGAAGTCCATGGGTCAGAAATTTCAACAGGGCATTTCCTCTGCTCCACAATATCTGGGGTCTCAGGTGGAAGACGTGAGGGCTGGAAACTGGAGTCATGTGAATACTTCCCATTCCACATGTATGGTTGTTGATGCTGGCTGTTGGCTGAGACCTTAGCTAGTGCTGAGGGTTAAGACACTCACATGGGGCTTCTGCATGTGGCCTGGGCTTTTTTACATCATAGTGGTTGGGAGATTGAGATAAAGAGGGGGAGAGAGTGAGAGAGAGAGAGAGAGAGAGAGAGAGAGAGATAGAGAGATAGAGATTGGGGGGATATATGCTTTTTATGGCCTAGCCTCAAAGTCATGGAATATCACTGCTGCTATTCTGTTGGTCTGATCAGTTATAGTCTGCCCAGATTCAGGGAGAAGAGAATGAACTCCATCCTTGAAGGGGAGTGGCAAAGTTCTAGAAGAGCATGTGAGACTTGAAAATATTACTGTGGCCAATTTTGGAAAATATGATTAGCCACAGGTGATCATAAGCTTAATCATCATCTATATATAGACTAAATCCTGATGCCCTTACACAGCACCTTAGGCAATCTGCAATCTGGCTTCCTCTTTCCCATTGTCTTACTTTAATATTCTATGCCCATCTTGCTGAGTGATGGTGTCTCAACAGTATAAGGAACTTGCATGTTGACCTTTTGGGTACACATACTGCGCCTTCTACTTGGAATACTCCCTTTCCCCACTCACAGTGACTGTGGATGTTCTACTCATCCCTTTGGTGAACTCTTTCCTCTTCTCAACTCACAGGACTCAAGGCTAAGTAGAGCTAACCCAGGGACAGACATGATTTCAAATATTTAGCTCCACTGTCAGTTAAGAAACTAGAAGTATCATAACTGCAGTTCTTACCTAAGTGTCTATAGATGGTCAGTTGTGTTGTGATTGTCTCCTTTCACTAAACAGTGAGCTATGGAGTAGCAGAATGTGCCACTCCAAAATATGCCACTTACTCAAAAAGATTATTTTGAACTAAAGCAATTGAGAAGAAGACAATCAAGAAAAACACTTTGCTCTCTCCGTATTGGCCTAAAATCAGGACATGAATTTGTAAAGTTGTTCTTTCTCCCCTCTCTACTAAAAAGGATGAAAGTTAATCATTGGAAACAACTTTAGACCCTATCAGCCTGGAGATGGCACCAGAAGAATCTACATAGCAAACTTTATTAACTAGCCCTTATTTTCTGTTATTTATGTTTTCCTTGCTACAATTTGCCATCCTAGAAAGTCAAAGTCCTTTTTCTTTGCCTTGTCATTTCCTTAAATTTTTATTTTCCTTTTATTAAGATGTTAACATAAGTTCAAATTCTAACCATCACTTTTAGTTAATCATTTTTTGGCTACTCCCATGTGTATGCATCAAACAAATGCTAATACATTTTTTTGTTTTTGTAGGAAACCAGAAAATACCACCTTAAAATATGCCTCTTTGGCATAAGGATTATTTTGAGCTGATTATTCTGAGAAGCTGCAGAAACAGGAGAAGTCTTGGAAACAGAGTAGAAGTTGCCCTTTTGTAAGGGAAATGTAAATCTATTAAGGAAATATCCATTTGTAAGGGTGTCTCCTTCTCTGTACCAGGAATAGAAGAATGACTCTAAATCATGAGAGCCTTTTGCTAATGGAGAAGGCACAGACTTAAATCTGCATAATGAACTTAACCCTTGCCCATGCTTTTTCTCATCATTATAATAATTATCATCATAATATGCCCTCCCCATACCTTTCTTGCTTTGTTTCAGCAAATGATGGTATTTAAGCCTGAATTCCAGGATAGCTGTTTGAGATTTGCTTATTTCTCTGGATATCTCCTGTATGTACATGAACTATACATGTTTTTAAACTTCTGTTTGTTTTTCTCCTGTTAATCTGTCTTTTGTTACAGGAGTCTCTTCCAGTTAAGAGTTATGAAGAGTAGAGAGAACATTATTTTTCCTCTCCTACATTTTTCTCTTGTTAATCTGTCTTTAGTTGGTTCCATTTACGGGCCATAGCTGGAGAACCTGAGATGGGTAGAGGGAAAAGGTTTTTTCTTCCTCTACAGAGCTTTCTAGGTTTGTTTCTCCCTATCACACCCTGCCTCCACTCTTATCCCTTCTCCTTTCTACTTCCAGCTGGGTGCGTTGCCTAATAGATACTCAATAACATTTGTTTGTTCAAGCATCTCTGTCCTCATTAATTCACCTAGGATTTTCTCTTACTGAACAGATTTTCTAAGGAATGGATAGAGCCAAAATTGAACTTGGCAGTTTCAAATTCAATTTTTCAGATGTTTAAGCATTCTTTTTTTCTGTTTGTTAGAAGCCTTTATCTATACATGGTTACTGAATTGCCTTAGTTTGCTGTATTTTTTTAAAAATCTCTCTTATTTAAGCAGCTGGTTGTTTAAAGGTACTCTCCAAATACACTGATTCCTTTTATTTTATAATAATGTGACATTATAGTTTCTGCAAGTTTTGAATAATCACAGATTCTTGTAATATCTAGAGTTGGGTAATTTAAATGCTTTTGGAAGCCACTGGTTTATTTGTGAAATACTTACATTCTTTTGCATGTGTGTGACTCCCCAGTGGAAAGGTTCTTCTTACCTGTGGCACAGAAAAGCCAATACCCTGAGACAGTGGTGTTGTAGTAAAGAAAGTGTTTTCTTATTGCAAAGCAGCCAACTGGAAAGGATGAGAGATATTTCTCAACTCTGCCTCCCTGAGATCTCAGAGACTAGGATTTTTAAGGATAATTTGCCAGGTAGGGGGCTCAGGAATGTGTGCTGCTGATTGGTTGGGGATGAAATTATCATCAGTTTCTAGGTAGAGGTCATAAAACCATTGAGTCAGTTCCTTGGTATAAGTCATGGGTTGGGGTGATGTCAGTTGGTCATCAGAGTGCAAACATCTGAAAAATATCTCAAAGATCAATCTTAGGCTTTACATTAGTGATGTAATCTATAGAAGCAAGTAGGGAAGTTTCAGATCTCATGATCTTTTGCTACATGACTCCTGAGCAGTAAGGAATTATAAGAAAGCAAGCTAGGGGTCAGGCACAGTGTCTCACACCTGTAATCCCAATGCTTTGGGAGGCTGAGGTGGGCAGATCATTTTAGGTCGGGAGATCAAAACCAGCCTGGCCAACATGGTGAAAGACTGTCTCTACTAAAAATAAAAAAATTAGCTAGGCATGGTGGTGGAAGTCTGTAATGCCAGCTACTTGGGAGGCTGACAGGAGAATCATTGAGCCCAGGAGGTGGAGGTTGCAGTGAGCAGAGATTGTGCTACTGCTGCACTCCAGCCTGGGAAACAGAGCGAGACTCCATTTCAAAAAAAAGAAAGAAAGAAAAGCAAGCTAGGGACAATGGCTGGTTATTGTTTAACTATGCCTACAGCTTAGCAGAATTCAGGTCCCTGCTTTAATCCTAACCTTGTGGCCTTTCATTAATCTTACAAAGGCAGTTTCAGTCCCCAGAAGGGGTCAGTTTTAGGAAAGACTATTATCATCCTTGCTTCAAAGTTAAACTCTAAACTAAAGCAGTCCTCCTACCTCAGCCTCCCAGGTAGCTGGGACTACAGGCACACACCACCATGCCTGGCTAATTTTTGTATGTTTTTGTAGAGATGGAGTTTTGCCATGTTTCCCAGGCTGATTTTGAACTCCTAGCCTTAAGCAATCTGCCTGAGTTGGCTTCCCAAGGTTTTGGAACTGCAGACATGAGCCACCACACTGGCCTATCTTTCTTAATTCCTTAACTCCCTTTCCTCTCCAGCTTCTATCATTCCTTTTCAACTCATATCTCTACAGTATAGAGAAGAAAGTTGTTAAAGACCAGAACTGAAGGTGTTAAATTGTCAAAGTACTTGGTGATTACTGGATGGGAGTCCTAGCATGTCAAAATAGAAGAGGTCATTAGAACAGCCAAGTCTACTTCCCTAAATTTAATGGATAGTGTTTTAGTCTGTGAAGCTATAACAAAAACCATAAACTGGGTGGCTTATAAACAACAAAAATTTATTTCTCACAGTTCTGGAGGCTGGAAGTCCAAGATCAAGATGCCAGCATGCTCAGTGTTTGGTGGGGGCCTGCTTTCTGGTTCACAGATGGCACCTTTTTGCTGTGTTGTCACACAATAGAAAGAAAGGGCTAGCTGTCTAGTGCTCTGAGGTTTCTTTTATAAAGGCACTATTTCCAGTCACGAGGGCTCCACCTTCATGCTGTAATCACTTCCCAAAGGCCTCATCTCATGTCCTAATACCATCACCTTGGAGGTTACATTTCAACATATAAACTTTGAGGGGACACGTACATTCAAACCAAAGCAGATGAGGAAACTGAGACTCAGAGGATTTACTCTGGAGGCTCTTCACAAGTTCTTCTCGGATATAATGTGAATGACAGAAAGAAGGACCAAAAAAGCCAAAACCAAAAACAAAAAACCCAAACCCAAACCCAAAAATAAAAACAACAGAGTCTCTTGATCTGAAGAGGATCTTCACCGTCAAAGGGGAAAGATGACAGTGAATACAGTGGGGTCTTCAAGCCCCTTACAGCCAAGCAGGACCTTAGCCTGTTCCCTCAGAGCAAGGGGAAATGAATTACTGAGATGCTGGAGTTTAACATGCTATTCGTACTAATAAGCTCTCTTAGCTACAACCCAAAAATGCCACTAGATGTCGAGAGAAGATTCATAATGACACTTAAGTTTGCAAAGGCTCTCATTTTGAAACTGCAGCCATAACACATTATCCACGTTATACTGAGCTCATATTTAATTCTGACAAAGGACAAATACGAGGTAGTGAGAACTTGATGTTTTTTCCTCCGTCACTGGAGAGAAGATGTGTTGGGCCATATTGTTTTTGACACAGCGCCTCAATTAGGTCTTAAAGAATAGGTAGCACATGCTCAATGAAATAGGAGATGCTACACTGATCTGGGGAGAATTTAGCAGCTTGGTTTGAGGTTTAAGTTTGATGTTCACCCGCCAGAGACCCACCAGTCAAAATAATTACATTTCTGTCTTCTCATAATATGATTTATTTAGGTGTTGCTTTATGAATTAATTCCCTCTAATTGCTGCTCCTCTCACTGTAAATCAAGGTTTCTTGCTTTCTGTAGTACGACGAACATGATCCTACAGTGCAGTAATTAGTCCAATTAGGAAGCAAGGCAGATGTGGAAAACCAATTAGTTTCAGGAATATGTCTGTGTCTATGTATCCCAGGCACTGTTCAATTGAAATTTAATAGCAACTTAATAAAACATTGTTTTATTCATAAACTATCTCTTCCTTCCAAGCTCCCATTTGTTTGTTTATCTGTTCATTTCTAGAGGAGCTAGTGCCAACGTGCTTCATGCTTGGCGAATCTCTTTCCATGCAGAGATTATTGTTATTTTCTCCCTGTGGTGAAAGTGAAGGGATCCTTATTTGTAGAAGGAGGCAAAGACTAGTGGTTTGGGAAAAGGGTGAGTTTTTGGCCTCTTCCCCCTCTTTATCTTAAATATAACCATCACTTGATTCAGGAACATAAACCAGGAGACAACAACAATACATTTTGTGCACACGCACACAAACACACACTCATACACACATACATGTACAGATACAGATACACATATGTATACATATACACATATATGAAGATGCACAAATATATGTAGACACACATACACATAATCCCTGTCATGACCCCTGGAAGCAACCCTGGGCTCAAGCTCACCTTGTGTCTATCAATCTCACTGAGGCTTCTGCTGCCTGAGTCTGGGTCTGACTCAAGGGACATCCCATTTCCTGAGGTTTATTCAATTGGGAAATGGGAACAAGATGAATTATTAAACCTATGGTTCCAAAAGATAATAACTTATTTCTCCAATTTCTGAAGTATTAACTCACAAAACACCAAAAAAACAAAAGGGTTTAACAATACAAACTGATTGTGCTCCAATTTGAGGGAAAGGACTGGATGTGACAGCACCCTGTTATGTGTGCAAACCATTTAATCCAGTGTAAAAAGAGGAAGAGGCTGATCCCAGCCCTTGATCTAGTTTAGAGTCTGAGGTTGAAGCAGTGTTCACAGTGAGGAACAACTGATATTTCTCTATTTGGTGAAGGACAAGAGGACATGGGGAACCCCATCGGTGGGTGGGCAGACAACTGGCTGACTCTCGTTGGTACCCCAGCCCAGTTCTCTCTGCAAAGTGGAAGGCAGGAAGGAGTCCCTTTCACTTTGCTGGAACAAAGCAAGTGTGGACAACATACAATCTGCGATAGAAAGAGACCTTTAGAGCGTGCAAAGTTCATTTTATTTCACAGAAGAATCAGAAGCCCTGAGAAGAGAAATGGCTTCCTTCCCCAAGGTGGCAGAGCTAAAATTAGCTCAAGAGTCTCTTGACATGCCATGCCATGTTCTGCACAGCATTCTGCTGCCTCTCTTTGGGGAACAAATCTCTAGTTCCAGAACATCTACATACAAGAGTTATTTTAAAAAATCTATCACCAAACAATCACAGTTACTGAAAATCCCTATTCACTGCTCAGTCTGATAGGTAAATTACCCAACTTTGATTTATGTAACTCATTATCATTGCACAGTCGCTGCAGTGATATGCTCCACTTGTCTCCTTGATCATTATGTGGCTGGGTTTCTCCATCCTGAAAGAAAGACCTTAATAATAACCAGCAAGGGTAACACAATTAGCAAGATGTGGCATTAACGTGTGCAGTTGGCCCTTTGTGTGTGCATGTGGGCATGCTTGTGTATGTGTTGGGGAGGTGAGGGTGTTGAGAATGTTCAAACCAATAGGTAACTAAGCCTATATTTTGGCAAGAACAACTTCTTTCCCTCCTGACCCAGGAGAAGGATGGGATATATGAAAGTTCTGTTTACATCCTCAGACAATTCAATCAGAGAACCCTTGGATGCAAGCTGGAGTGTGTGGGGCAAAGGAAGAGGGAATAATGTCAGTGTGGAAAGAAAGAGAAAGGATTGTGATAAATCTGTGGCAGATTTCAGAAGATGATTGCCTGGTGACCTGGGGGATAAGGTCATTCATCCCAGCTCGCAGAAAGTCATTATTGCTCTTCTGATTATACCTCTCCCTTGGGGGACATGTGACAGTGTTCAGGCTACAAATGCCTACCACTCTGGAGTGGATGACTCACCAACCTCAGCTGATTGAGGGGGTTAAAGTGGAAGCAGCAGGAGCAGAAATGCTCTCCTTGCCTTTCCTAGGCTTTCACTGGAAGAGGTAGTTTTTTGTGGGGGTGGAGGTGGTTAAAAAGGCAATTATCAATCAAACCAATGTAATTTTTTAAAAGTCTGTTGCAATATCTGAAAATTCAGTACAATTCAATTTGACAAATACTTATTAAAGGATACCCAACAGTTAAAAATAAGTGTATACTACACTGGAGCGTATGGGTTATTTAAAGGATTCGTGTCCTCAGAGGAGTTGACAGTCTATGCAGGCATAAGTCAATGGTCCAAGTATCTGTAAGACAAAGTAATATATGATGAGTGATACAGGAAGCATCCAAGTATGGTGAGGCAGAGAAAATGGTTGAGGCAATTAGGAAGCTTCTTGGGGAATGAATGTGTGAGCTGTATCCTGAAAAACGGGTGGGTTTTGGATAAGCAGAGAAGGGCATTGCAGGCAGGAGGAACAGCACAGGAGTCAAGCGGTGGTGGGAGAGCACAGATGACTTTAGGGAGTAGCAACTCTCCAGGTCATCTAGAACCACAATAGCAGTAAGCTGTGAATGTGGTTTGGTATGGAACATGGGGACCAAGGTACCTGCCCTGAGTTTAGTGGGCCCTGGGCAATGACAGAATCTTCAACCATATTCTTGGGACTTTTTCTAACACGGAAACCATTTCAGTGATTGATTCCATCTTCTCTGCTAAATGATTGTTTCAGAAAATGAAATGCATCAACCCATTGCAAATGACATATTTAATTCTATGCCCCTCACAGCTTTTATTAGATGAGTTTTCAAGCACACACCCCTTGCAGCCTTATCTACAATGGTAATATTGAGTTATTCATGAGTCCAAAGACTTGTAAACTATTGCTGTGAGGTAAGCGTTTGCAATAACAGAGCAGCATAATTTTTCTCTGTTACTAATAGGGGAGGGGAGGATAATAAAAATAAGAATTATTTAAGTTTCTTTCAGGGACCCCAAGGAGAATAAGGAGGCCACACTTTCTCTCGTGTCTGTTACTTGGAGAGAAATGGGAGCCAGGACAAAGACTCAAAGACTTCACGGCTCTCCCCAGGGCTCCCATTGATTGTGTGGAAGAGCTGCCTTTGGGGCATCTGCTTTCCCAAGCAATCAATGCAACAACACGAGTGAGAAATGAGTAACAGCAACTGCTTAGCATCCATTCTTCCTTGTAATTAATATCACGTGGCTGCACAGACAGCCAGGAGCTGTCTGGTGAGAAATGCTCATTCAGGGAAACCAAGCAACAAACAAACAGACATGAAAATGTGTTTTACACAATTCTTGGAAAATGCAAAAGGGAAGGGGCTTACCTCAAAGCTGTCTATAACTGAATTATCACTGGAGGTTTATGTTTGGTCTTTTTTTTCTTTTCCTCTGACAAATCAGCTCATATATTTTCTTGCAACTGAAACAAGCACTGTTTTAATTGTTCCATTAAAAGAGGTGTTGAAATGTTACTAATTGTCAAATGCAATTAAGTGTAGCAACATGTCACAGGTAAATTAACGAGAAGCCAGGTGCTTGGGGGGTGGTGCTTAGCATTCAAGGGGATGGGAATAATTGTTAGCCTCCCTGGAGGTGACTCCTGCTTGCCTAACCATGGAGCACTGTGCACTGAACTGGCCCCTGATCACAGCTTTTAAGTGTTTCTGACTCATCCGTGGCCATTTGCTGTGAGTCGTTTTTAGCTGCTCTGTCTCTCAAAGCTTGATGGTGATGCTGTGAGCAGGGTGTTGGTAATTTTAACAGGAAAAGACAATTGTTTTTCTTGAATAACCCAGAAAAAGGGAACAGTATTTGCAAAGAATCCAGAGGCTCACATCTGGAACTCTCTACCCATCCCCCTTCACATGCCATGACAGAGATAGAGGGCAACCATAGTGCCTGATTGTCCCATGAAGACATGTTGTGAAACCAGATGTCTCCCAAGATAAAAGCCAAAGATGAGCTGGAAAACACAGAGAGCTACAGAGAGCTGCACCCATAAGGTTAGAAGTGCCTTATGGACATGGTGCTGTTATCTCAGTAGGTTAGTTAGGTTTCACATTCCTTCATTTGATTTCCTATTTATTCGTTTATTCTTTCCACATGCTATGTGCAGTGGATCACACAGAAGTATAAAACATAACCTTATGCCCTCTACTTTCATTTTCAACTACAGTCACACACCACATAATGATATTTCAGTCATTGACAAACCACATATGCAACATTGGTCCCATAAGATTATAAGGGAGCTGAAAAATTCCTGTTGCCTAGTGACATAGCTTTCATAACATCATGGCTCAACACATAACTTTTTCCAAGTTTAGATACATTTAAATACACAAATACTTACCATTGTGTTACAGATGTCTGCAGTATTCAGTACAGTAACATGCAGTACAGGTTTGTAGCCTGGGAGTAATAGGCCATACCATATAGCTTAGGCGTGTAGTAGGCTATACCATCAAGGTTTGCAGATGTATGCTCTATGGTGTTTGCACAATGACAAAATCACCTAAAGATGCATTTCTCAGAATATGTTCCTGTTGTTAAGTGACACATTGAATGTATCTTATCTAGATTAAACACACACATTTTCAACTAGTTTGTAAGCTATTGACAGTAGGTACTGGGCCCTATTCTTTGAACCTGAAACACCTAGCACAGTGCCTGGCACGTATTAAGAACTCAGTAAGTATTTAATGAATAAACAAAAATAGAAGAGCAAGGCAGGAAAGGAAATTTCTTCGTGGGAAGAGGGTACACTAAGTTAGGTAGAAACGCCAAAATTTCCGTGGCAGGTGGTGCAAGAAGGAATTGAGTTCAATGAGGTAAAGATTTAAATGATAGTTACCAGAGAATGAGAAGGGTGTGTGTGTGTGTGGTGTGGGGGAGGGAATATGTAGGGATGAAGAGGGGTTGGTTAATGGGTACAAACATTAGCTGGATAGAAAGAATAAGTTCTAGTGTTCCATAGCATAGTAGACTGACTTTCACGTGTGTCCGTGTGAAGAGACCACCAAACAGGCTTTGTGTGAACAACATGGCTGTTTATTTCACCTGGGTGCAGGCGGGCTGAGTCCGAAAAGAGAGTCAGCCCAGGGAGATAAGGGTGGGGCTGTTTCATAGGATTTGGGTAGGTAAAGGAAAATTACAGTCAAAGGGGGTTTGTTCTCTGGCGGGAAGGAGTAGGGGCCACAAGGTGCTCAGTGGGGGAGCTTTTTGAGCCAGGATGAGCCAGGAAAAGGACTTTCACAAGGTAACGTCATCAGTTAAGGCAAGGACCGGCCATTTACACTTCTTTTGTGGTGGAATGTCATCAGTTAAGGTGGGGCAGGGCATATTCACTTCTTTTGTGATTCTTCAGTTACTTCAGGCCATCTGGGCGTATAGGTGCAGGTCACAGGGGATGTGATGGCTTGGCTTGGGCTCAGAGGCCTGACATTCCTGCCTTCTTATATTAATAAGAAAAATAAAACAAAATAGTGTTGAAGTGTTGGGGCGGTGAAAATTTTTGGGGGGTGGTATGGAGAGAGAATGGGCGATGTTTCTCAGGGCTGCTTCAAGCGGGATTAGGGGCGGCGTGGGAACCTAGAGTGGGAGAGATTAAGCTGAAGGGAGGTCTTGTGGTAAGGGGTGATATTGTGGGGATGTTAGAAGAAACATTTGTCATATAGAATGATTGGTGATGGCCTGGATACGGCTTTGTATGAATTGAAAAACTAAATGAAATAAGAGAAGGGGAAAAACGGGTATAAATGGTCTAAGAATTGGGAGGACCTAGAACATCTGATTAGAGAGTGCCTAAGGAGATTCAGCATAGTCCTGCCAGCAAAGATTATTTATTTACTTCAAGAGTTAAGAGTGGCAGTTTGGGGATAGCACCAGGAGATAGCTGTGATGGCTTGGAGAAACAGTGTAAACCGGCAGTGTAAACAAGAGCAGGGCATGTATGAGTAGTTGAGAACGGTGAATAGGAGTATGGCTAGACAGGAGATAGTAGGGATGACAAGTTTTTTTGGGGCACAGTCTAAGTTGGTCCAGTGTCTGGAATGAGACTGGGGCCTAATACAAAGGAGCTCAAATGGGCTGTACCTTGTAGCATTCCGAGGACAGGCCTGAATTCTGAGAAGTGAAAGTGGTAAAAGTATTGTCCAGTCCTTTTTAAGTTGGTTGCTGAGCTTGGTGAGGTGTGTTTCTAATAGACCATTAGTCTGTCACTGAATACTAAGAGCCTGAAAATATGCTTGGCTGATTTGACTAATAAAGGCTGGTCTGTTATCAGACTGTATAGAGGTGGGAAGGCTAAACTGAGGAATTATGTCTAACAGAAGGGAAGAAATGACTGTGGTGGCCTTCTCAGACCCTGTAGGAAAGGCCTCTACTTATTTTGAGGGCCTCTAAAAGTATTAAAGCAGCGGCACCTGCTGCACGCAGACATGAGGGCTAGGCTAAAACAGTAATGTCAAGTTGTTTGGACAGAAAGGCTACAGGGTGCGGTCCTGGCTCTTGTGTAAGAATTCTGACCGCACTAACCAGGCCTAGGAAGGAAAGGAGTTGTTGTTTTGTAAGGGATTGAGGTTTGGGAGATTAATCAGACACGATCAGCAGGGAGAGCACGTGTGTTTTTATGATAATTATGCCAAGATAGGTAACAGATGAGGATGAAATTTGGGCTTGACTGAAGTAATGGGGGCTGTCTGTGAAGCTTTGCGGCAGTACAGCCCAGGTAATTTGCTGAGCCTAATGGGTGTCAGGGTCAGTCTAAGTGAAAGCAAAGAGAGACTGGGATGAAGGGTGCAAAGGAATAGTAAAGAAAGCATGTTTGAGATCTAGAACAGAATAATGGGTAGTAGAGGGAGGTATTGAGGATAGAAGAGTATATGGGTTTGGCACCATGGGGTGGATAGGCAAAACAATTTGGTTGATAAGGCGCAGATTCTGAACTAACTCGTAAGCCTTGTCTGGTTTTAGGACAGGTAAAATGGGGGAATGGTAAGGAGAGTTTATAGGTTTTAGAAGCCCATGCTGTAGCAGGCGAGTGATAGCAGGCTTTAATCCTTTTAAAGCCTGCTGCGGGATGGGATATTGGCGTTGAGCAGGGTAAGGGTGATTAGGTTTTAATGGGATGGTAATGGGCATGTGATCGGTTGCCAGGGAAGGAGTACAGATGTCTCATACTTGTGGGTTAAAGTGGGGGGATATGAGAGGAAGACGCGAAGGAGGCTTTGGGTTGGGGAGAAGGGCGGCAATGAGATGTAGCTGTAGTCCAGGAATAGTCAGGAAAGTAGTTAATTTGGTTAAAATATCTCGGCCTAATAAGGAACTGGCAGGTGGGGATAACTAAAAAAGAGTGTTGTCCAAGTTGGCACCAGAGTTGGGGAGTTTTAAGAGGTTTAGAAGCCTGGCTGTCAATACCCACAACAGTTATGGAGGCAAGGGAAACAGGCCCTTGAAAAGAAGGTAATGTGCAGTGGGTAGCCTCCGTATTGATTAAGAAGGGGACGGACTTACCCTCCACTGTGAGAGTTACCCGAAGCTCGGCATCCGTGATGGTCTGGGGGCTTCCGAGGCGATCCGGCAGCGTCAGTCTTCAGCCGCTAAGCTGAGAAGATCTGGGAAGGAGTCAGAGAGCCTTGGGCCAGAGTTCCAGGGGCTCTGGGAGTGGCTGCCAGGTGAGTTGAACAGTCCGATTTTCAGTGGGGTCCCACACAGATGGGACGCAGCTTAGGAGGAATCCTGGGCTGCGGGCATTCCTTGGCCCAGTGGCCAGATTTCCCGCACATGTAGCAAGCTCCTGGGGGAGGAGGTTCTGGAGGAACGCCTGGCTGCTGCGGTTTGAAAGTTCTTGTGTGCTGGAGATGTGGCTGGGGTTTGTCTCACAATGGAGGCAAGGAATTGCAACTGTTTTTTTTTTATTATTATTGTACACCTTGAAGGTGAGGTTAATTAAGTTCTGTTGTGGGGTTTGAGGGCCAGATTCTAATTTTTGGAGTTTTATTTAATGTCGGGAGCAGATTGGGTAATAAAATGTATATTGGGAATAAGACGGCCTTTTGACCTTTTAGGGTCTAGGGCTGTAAAGTGTCTCAGGGTTGCTGCCAAACAAGTCATGAACTGGGCTGGATTTTTATATTTGATGAAAAAGAGCCTAAACGCTATCTGATTTGGGATAAAGAAAAAGGAGCATTAACCTTGACTATGCCTTTGGCTCCAGCCACCTTTTTAAGAGTAAATTGCTGGGCAGGTGGGGGAGGGCTAGTCATGGAACGAAACTGTAAGCCGGACCAGGTGTGAGGAGGGGAGGTGATAAAAAGATTATAGGGTGGAGGAGCAGAGGCTGAGGAAGAATTGGGACCTAGCTCGGCCTGGCGAGGAGCAGGCTGGGGAGGAAGGGAGAGGTCAGATGGGTCTGTAGAAAAGGAAGATTAGAAAGACTCAGCGACGCTTGGGGTTGGTACTGAGGGGACAGGCGGGAGGGAAAGAAGGAAGATTTGGGACGAGTTGCACTGGGCACAGAGACTAGGAAGGGACTGATGTGTAAAAGAATGCCTGGACGTCAGGCACCTCAGACCGTTTGCCTATTTTACGACAAGAATTATTTAGATTTTGCAGGATGGAAAAATTCAAAGTGCCATTTTCTGGCTGTTTGGAACTACTGTCGAGTTTGTATTGGGGTCAAGCGGCATTGCAGAAGAAAATAAGGCATTTAGGTTTTAGGTCAGGTGTGAGTTGAAGAGGTTTTAAGTTTTTGAGAACACAGGCTAAGGGAGAAGAAGGAGGAATGGAAGGTGGAAGCTTACCCATAGTGAAGGAGGCAAGCCCAGAGAAAAGAGCAGAGACACAGAGAAGGGGTGGGGGGTTCTTGCCCTCCAGGAAAGCAGAGAAGGGGTTGGGGCATGGAAATAAGGGATTGGGGCACAGAGATAAGAGGTCAGGGTGCAGAAATAAGGGATAAGAGATTGGGGCACAGAGATAAGAGGTTGGGGTGTGGAAATAAGCGATTGGGGGGTTCTTGCCCCCCAGGAAAGTGGGACTTGCCGCTCAGGGTGAAGGAGAAGGGGTTGAGGGGTACTTGCCCCTGCCCCAGGAAAGCGGGACTTGCCACTAAGGGTGAAGGAGAAGGGGTTGAGGGATACTTGCCCCTGCCCCAGGAAAGCAGGACTTGCCACTAAGGGTGAAGGAGAAGGGGTTGAGGGGTACTTGCCCCTCCCCCAGGAAAGCAGAGAAGGGGTAGAGACAAGGAGAGAAGGGGTTGAGGGGTACTTGCCCCTTCCCCAGAAAAGCAGGACTTGCCACTAAGGGTGAAGGACCAAGGCAGGCATCCCTGCATTGTCGGACACCCTTGAAACGTGGGTGTATAATCAGAGAGGTGTCCCTGCAATGATTAAACACCAAGGGAAGGCTGCCTTCCCAGTCCCTGACCGGTGCCGGAGTTTTGGATCCACGGATAAAATGCGTCTCCTTTGTCTCTCCCAGAAAATGAAAGGAATTGAAATTAAGAGAAGGGAGAGATTGAAGAGTGGAAAGGAGAAAGTGGTTGAGGGACAGTGAGAGAGGTTGGAGAAGAGAGTAAGAAGAGGCCACTTACCTGATTTAAAATTGGTGAGATGTTCCTTGGGCTGGTCGGTCTGAGGACCTGAGGTCGTAGGTGGATCTTTCTCATGGAGCAAAGAGCAGGAGGACGGAGGATTGATCTCCCAAGGGAGGTCCCCCGATCCGAGTCACAGCACCAAATTTCATGCGCGTCCGTGTGAAGAGACCACCAAACAGGCTTTGTGTGAGCAACATGGCTGTTTATTTCACCTGGGTGCAGGCGGGCTGAGTCCGAAAAGAGAGTCAGCCCAGGGAGATAAGGGTGGGGCCGTTTTTATAGGATTTGGGTAGGTAAAGGAAAATTACCGTCAAAGGGGGTTTGTTCTCTGGCGGGAAGGAGTAGGGGTCGCAAGGTGCTCAGTGGGGGTGCTTTTTGAGCCAGGATGATCCAGGAAAAGGACTTTCACAAGGTAATGTCATCAGTTAAGGCAAGGACCGGCCATTTACACTTCTTTTGTGGTGGAATGTCATCAGTTAAGGTGGGGCAGGGCATATTCACTTCTTTTGTGATTCTTCAGTTACTTCAGGCCATCTGGGCGTATAGGTGCAGGTCACAGGGGATGTGATGGCTTGGCTTGGGCTCAGAGGCCTGACACTGACTATAGTTAATGATGTATTGTGTATTTCAAAATAGCTAGAAGAGATTTGAAATGTCTCCAACACAAAGAAATGATAAATGTTCAAGGTAATCCTAAATACTAAATCAGGATACCCTAAATAGCCTGATTTGATCATTACACATTATATGCATGTATCAAAATATCACATCTACCACATGAATATGTACAAATATTATGTATCAAGAAGGAAGGAAGGAAGGAAGAAGGAAGGAAGGTGAAAGGAAAGGAATTAGTTCAGTGAGAGAATCACAACATAGATACCTGGAATTCTTGGGCAAGGCTGTATTATCTGTAACAGAGAATTACATACCATTTGAAAAACAGCTCATAAAGTGTTAATGCTCCCCATAGGGCTGGAATGCTTGATCATCAGACATTAAGTTAGCATGCATTTGGGATTGGCCATCATAAGCTAAGTTTGTTCAGAGCCACCAAGTCATAAGGTCAGGAGGGCCTGGCTTTCTGAGGGCCTGGCTTTCTTATGATGGAAGTGATATATCTAGAATTGTACACAGACAGGACCAAAAGGCACAAGCAAGCTGCGCTATCAGGTGGCCCAGGTCTCATGACCTCTGCCACAGTTACACCAGAACCTTTTCCTCAGCTCACATATGTGGCTACACATGGTATTCCCTATGATCTGTTGATGAAAGAAGAAAAAAACCTGATTGTGATTCATGGATGGGTTGGCTTAGTTGTGGGTATGTTTGGTAGCTGAACTATAGCTCCACTCAGGGTGAGATTGAAATGGGAGAAAATCTTCATAGTGGGAAGAGCTAAGGAAGCCCACCTAATCATCCAGTTTGTGTGTAAAAACAAGTGTTCCAAGGCTAGAATATATGTGGACTCATGAGTTATGGGGAGTGGGTAGGCTGGCTAAGTAGGAATTTGGATATAACAAGACTGGGGCTGGGTGCAATGGCTCATGCCTGTAATCCCAGCACTTTGGGAGGCCGAGGTGGGAGGATCGCTTGAGATCAGGAGTTCGAGACCAGCCTGGACACCATGGTGAAACCCCGTCCCTACTAAAAATACAAAAATTAGCTGGGCGTGGTGGCAGTGCCTGTAATGCCAGTGACTCGGGAAGCTGAGACAGGAGAATCGCTTGAACCCAGGAGGTGGAGTTTGCAGTGAGCCGAGATCGTGCCACTGCATTCCAGCCTGGGTGACAGAGCAAGATTCTGTCTCAAAAAAAAAAAAAAAAAAAAAAAAAAAAGGATTGGAAGATTGGGACAAGGAGGTATGGGCTAGGGGCATGAAGATAGACATATGGAAGCAGGCCTAAAGTGTGAAGATTTTTATATCACATTTTTTATGCCTATTGGAGCACATTCTACCACAGAACAGATATTACAGAACCAAGTATGCTGAAAGGATCTATTATTGGCCACTCCTGTGTTGGCAAAATGGACCAATGAATATGAATCATGCTGGCAGGGTTGGAGGCTGCCCATGGGCACAGCAGCATGAACACCCAAGGCTGATTTATCTACTGTCACTGTCTAATGACCAACCTGCTAGCAACAGAGAACGACAGATTCAACACCATCCCTCAAGGAGAACAACTGGCCACTTGGTGGCAAGTTGACTATATTGGATCTCTTCTACTTTGGAAGAGGCGGCACTTTATTTATTTATTTTTCCTTCAACTTTTAAGTTCTGGGTTACGCGTGCAGGATGTGCAGGTTTGTTACACAGGTAAATGTGTGCCATGGTGGCTTGCTGCACAGATCATCCCATCACTTAGGTATTAAGTCCAGCATTCATTAGCTATTCTTCCTGATGCTCTCTTCCTCCCCACCCACCTCTGACAGACCCCAGTGTGTGTTGTTCCCCTCCATGTGTCCCTGTGTTCTCATCATTCAGCTCCCCCTTATAAGTGAGAACATGCAGTGTTTGGTTTTCTGTTCCTGTGTTAGTCTGCCAAGCAAGGATAATGGCTTCCAACTCCATCCATGTCCCTGCAAAGGACATGATCTTGGTCCCTTTTATGACTGCATAGTATTCCATGGTGTATATGTACAACATTTTCTTTATCTAGTTCTATCATTGGTGGGCATTTAGGTTGATTCCATGTCTTTGCTGTTGTGAATAGGAGGCAGCACTTTATTTTGACATGAATATACACATATTCCAGATATGGATTTGCCTGTCATGCCAACAGGATCACAGCCAGCATCACTATTGGAGGCTTGTAGAGTACCTAATCCATTGGCACAGGATTTCACATAACATGGCATCAGTACATGGGACATACTTTACTGCCAAAGAGTTGAGTTGGTGAGCACTTGACGGGGAATCTGCTGATCATATCACATACTACACCACCTAAAAATGCTGGCCTGATAGAGTGATGCAATAACCTACTCAAGGCACACAGTAGTGCCATCTCAGGGGATGTGGTGCTATCTTTCAGGAAACAGCATATACCTTAAATAAAAAATTTTATACAGTGCTATGCACCTAATATGTAGGATTCATAAGTATGGAAACCAAATGGTAGAAACCAGAGCCCCACTCCTAGTGAGCCACTTGGGGAACATGGGCTTCTCATCCCCAGAACTCAAAGCTCTGCGTATATAAAAGTTCCACCTTCTTTTCTTTTTTTTGACGGAGTCTGGCTGTTTTACCAGGCTGGAGTGCAGTAGTGCAATCTTGGCTCACTGCAACCTCCGCCTCCCAGGTTCAAGCGGTTCTCCTGCCTCAGCCTCCCAAATAGCTGGGACTACAGGCACATGCCACCATGCCAAGCTAGTTTTGTATTTTTAGTAGAGATGGGGTTTCGCCATGTTGGCCAGGATGGTCTCGATATCCTGACCTCGTGATCCGCCGGCCTTGGCCTCCCAAAGTGCTGGGATTACAGACAGGCATGAGCCATCGTGCCAGGCCTCCATTTTCTAAAGGAAAAAATACTGCTGCCAAGGGACACAGCAGGCACCTGGCTGAATTATAAACTATTACTGCTTTGGCACTTCAAACTCATTGTGCTTAGGAACCAGCAGGCAAGAAGAGGAGTCACTAGTTGGCTAGAGTGATTTACTCTGGTCAGCAGGAAGAGGCAGGGCTGCTAGGAGCAGAGGGAATTAGGTTTGATACTCAGATGATCCACTTGGGCATCTTTTGAGACTCTCTTGACCAATTTTAGAAGGATGTGCAGCAACCTTGGCCTGAGGAGGGCATGGTAACCAGGAGTACAGATCCTGTTAGGGTCTAGCTCATGCCACCAATAGGATAGCAAAAGCAGCAGGGATACTAGCTGAGAGTAAGGGGATCTATAATGGATAACAGAGGATGGTGAGAATGTCAATTGTAGCTCCAAAGCCAATTGCCATGGTGGGGACTGTAGGCGATCCCACTGACCTTCATCTTCCAAGTTCCCTCCCCAACCAGGGGTTTACAAGAATGCTGGAGGAACTGCTCCTAGGACTTTGGTGAAGAAGTGGATCCAAATGGTGTAAGAGGTGCACTGTGCCGCGTGCTGTGATATGTTGCTCAGATCCCCTTTTGGGAATGAAGAATTAATTACCCCAGCTGCTGTGGTGGGTGCTGCTGGCAGATGACCCTCAGTTGTCAGCACTTCTGAGGGGATTGTCTCAACCTGAGAAAACAGACTCAGCTGAGGTCATGCCTTCTTCCAGGGGCCACCCACATGCAATGACTTATCATCATGGGGTTATAACAGCTCAGCCCATTCACCCCCAATGCAGGATAACTCTGAAGAGACACTTGAGCTCCAGAAGTTTCTGTGAATCTTCTGAAGTTGTCATTCGATCCACATCATATCTCAACTTCTCCCCCTGCCCAAACCTGTTTTCTTCCTCTCTTTCTATAGGTTTTGAATCATGAGAAATCTTTAAATGACATCTCTGTCTCATATTCTGCTTGCTGAGAAACTACTGCAAACACCTATCTTGCAAACTCCACCACTATTATTACCATCATTGGGTTGCCCTTCTCTCCGCAGTCCACATTCCTTGCTGCCTAGAACAGTCAATAGCAAATAATTTCCTTCCATATTATAATTATGGTCTAGTTTACCCTTTGGTTTCAGGTCTTGCTCAAAGACCATCACCAAGTAAGCTTCCCTGATTGATCTTTTTCTATTCTGATCCAACTTTAAAATGTGGGTCCCACATCCCCATCCTCTGGTGTTCTGTACCCTCTGGCATTGTGTTTGTTGCATTACAGTGCAGTGACTGTTTATGAGTCTGAATTTCTTCCTCCACAGTGAACTCCTAAATGCTGAGGACATGACCATGCAATTTTCCTCTTTCCAGCCCTGGTACCTAACACCGTGCCTGACTCATTGTGGCCTCTCAATCCGTGTTTGTTGCAGAATGAAATGCATTTGGATTTTACTGCTGGGAAAACAAGGACAGGCAGTCTGAACAGAGTTGTCATCATTGTCTAATTATTCTTGGGTGTGTACCTGCTTATTCAATTTAAGAGAAAGCTCCTGACGTTGCAGAGAAGGTGCTTTTTCATTTACTAGTAATTTTTCTATCTTCCTATAGAGAATGGTGCTCTCTTTTTCTCTTCTTTTCTCAGTAGGACCTGAGTAAACACTAATAGACTCACTGTAACAGGAGTGTAGAACAGAGCCTGGGTTGGCCCCAGGCAAAGTTGCAAAACAGCAGACATTTATCTTCAGTTCTTCACCATTTCTTTTCTATGTTCTTTCCCCACTTCCAGCACTCCATTATCTCTGCTATTTTATTCTCCTCAGAAAGCTTAGTTCTAGGAAAAGGACTGATTTAGTCATTTATAGCTTGGTGTGACTTTAAGTCAGTATGCTGTCTCTTCCTGGAGTACTTGCACTTTTGCCTCACTTCTGATTCAAGAACAAAAGTCTCCATAAAAAGTCTAAAGGGCTCTCTGCCTTCCCGTCAGAGTATCTGTTTTTGTTTTAAATTGCATTTTTGAAAAATAGTGCCATTATTTGACTCATATTTTCTTCCCCCTTCTATTGTATCCTCAAGGAGGGTAGGGACCTGTTTCTGTTTTGTTTTTGGCATTGTATCTCAGCACTCAGTATAGTGCTTTGTATACCATGAGTAATTTATAAATGATGACAAATGCACATTTATAAATAATTGTATCATATAAGTAAATTTATAAATAATGGTTGAATAGTTGGGCAGGTGTTTTAGAAGTAGGTGGAGAAGCTCCGCCCCAGAGATTCCCACTGAGCTTACATCATCTGGCTCTCACCTCCTGTTTGCTCCGGGGCTACGCCCCTTGCTGTTTCTTACGTGAGCCTTCCACATTACCAGAAGCAATGGGTGGGAAGAGTAGAAGAGGCTGAAGCATGAGGAAAATTGTCAGTTCTGAAGCCCTGGAAAGAAGCCCCTGCTGGGTGTCCAGGAGGGTGAAGATACTAAAGCATGGCAAGCATGGGGTGCTTTACTTGGGAAGGACCCTAGACGTCTTCCAGCTCAAGGGACTGAGACATACAGAAGTTAGGGGACTTAAACAGGGCCACTGTGTTCATTTGCTAGAGCTGCCATGACAAATTGCCACAGACTGGGTGACTTAAACAACAGAAATCGATTTTCTCATAGTCCTGGAAGCTACAGGTCTAAGATCAAGGTATTGTCAGGGTTGATAACCTCTGAGGCCTCTCTCTGTGACTTTAGACGACTGTCTTCACATGGGTTCCTCTGTGCGTATCTGAGTCCTGATCTTTTTTCTTTTTCTTTCTCTTTTGTTTTAGTGATGGGGTCTCGCTCTATTGCCCAGGCTGAAGGGCAGTGGCACGATCTCGGCTCATTGCAACCTCTGCCTCCTGGACTCAAGCGATTCTCTTGCTTCAGCCTCCTGAGTAACTGGGATTACAGGCACACACCATCACACCCGGCTAATTTGTGTATTTTTAGTAGAGATGGGGTTTCTCCATGTTGGCCAGGCTGATCTCAAACTCCTGACCTCCAGTGATCTGCCTGCCTTGGCATCCCAAAGTGCTGGGATTACAGGCACGAGCCACAAATCTTTTATTCTTATAAGGACACCAGTCACAGTGGATTAGAACCCAGTCATATGACCCAATTTAAACTTAATTACCTCTTTAAAGGACCTATCTCCAAACACAGTCACATCAACATATGCGAGGTAGGACATCAACATATGATTTTTGGGGGAAGAGAATTCAGCCCATTATAGTCACCAGGCAAACAGAGGCAGTATAGACCAAGGGTTAAATGTACTATGTGTAGAGACAGACTAGATTTGGAACTCTGACACTGCCACTTAAAATCATGTGGGCCAATTTTTCAATCTCTTGATACCTTAGTTTCCTCTTCTGTTACATAAAAATAAAAATAATTATGGCACCAGCCCTGTTAAATGAGATGATGTATGCAAAGTACAATGTGTAGATGTTGCCAGTATTTAATAACTGCCAGTAGTAGTAGCTATTGAGTTTGTGTTGTTACTGTTGTTATTATTAGTTTCCTTTCCTTTTCTTTTTTCTTTTTTTTTTTGAGACAGAGTCTTGCTCTGTCACCCAGGCTGGAGTGCAGTGGCACGATCTCGGCTCACTGCAACCTCTGCCTCCCAGGTTCAGGTCATTCTCCTGCCTCAGCCTCCCAAGTAGCTGGGATTACAGGTGCATACTACCATGGCTGGGTAATTTTTATATTTTTAGTAGATGTGGAATTTTGCCATGTTGGTCAGGCTGGCTTGAACTCCTGGGCTCAAGTGATCCACCAGCCTCAGCCTTCCAAAGTGTTGGGATTACAGGCATGAGCCACTGCTCCCTGCCTATTAGTTTCCGTTTCTGTAAAATAGGGCTAATTGAAGTGTCCACCTACTTCTTAGAGTTGTGAGGATTGCATGAGATAATGCATAGTGAAGAGCTTATATATCCCCTGGCACAGGGCAAGACCTCAAAAAATATTAGTTGTGGTCATTGTCTTCATGAGACAAGAACAAGTTTTCCAAAATCCTGTAGCTTCCTTTCATGCTACTAAATAGGATCTGACATAGCAAAATTGTCTGTGTATTTCATAAGATGCAGATTTTCTTATTTGATTAGTTTTCAAAAGAAAAGCCACCTATTTCATGCAGGTACTCTTATATCAATTATTAAAACCTGAAATGAAGTAACACAGGAGCACACACAACTTATAGCTAAATTTTTTTTTAGCCATAGGAAGGTGGGATCTGCGTTCTGAATTACATGGTAGAAAAATGTTCCGGTTCAATGTGGGTGATTAACTGTTTGATATCTTGTCAGGCTTTGACAGTTCTCCCTCTGTTTTACACCTCTTACTATGTCTCGTGTAATTAAGAAATGGTACTGAGTTCTTGTCATCCACCATTAAGGAGTAGTCACAGATAGTTTCATAACATCTGCTTTTTGCAACCTTCTAATTATCCATAAAAATCTGGCAGAGAGACCTGACAGTTTATCCAGAACATAGAATATGAATGCAAAATAAGATCTTTGCTTCTACATACAGAGTGATGGTATAAAAAAGATACTATCTAACCTCTTATTTTGCATGCAGCTATGTTGCCTGTTTAAATCAGAGTTAGGTGCATGTCTTCTCAATAAAGACTCAATTTTAAAAAGCATTTTTTGACAAATTGAATGTGGGTCAGGAATACACTAATGATGCTGTGTCAGAATCTGTTGTCAGTTGCTGCCCCATTACTCTCCTTAGAATCCATTCAAAAACAGTTACTTCTCTCCCCTTATCTGCAAGCTTTGAGCTGCCCATACCCTGATAGGAAGAACTGAGGAACTCCTGACTGGTCCAGATGCTTGCCTCTAGCAAGGTCAACTCTCAGCCTCCTCTTGCTCGTTTCTGGTAGTGGGTGCCTGTCTTGTCCACCAACTTGCCTCGCTTTCTGATTCATTACCTGACCTTGATTCTGGGAAACGCACTTTCTGAACTCTTACACTGTGTGTCTTTAGTCTGTTGAAACACTATATTATTTTGACTTTTGGCCATAGCATATCTTCTTTCTACCTACACCTTCAAAATCCATTTGGACCCATAAATAACTTTTTTTTTCCTGCCCTTTGGTTTTAAATCCACAGATGCCTATCTGAACATTTTCTTCTTCTTTTCTTTCTTCCTTTCTTTATCTTTTTTTTTTTTTTTTTTTTTTTTTTGGTGAGACAGAGTCTCACTCTGTCCCCCAGGCTAGAGTGCAATAGTGTGATCTCAGCTCACTGCAACCTCCGCCTCCCCGATTCAAGTGGTTCTCCCACCTCAGCCCCCCTAGTAGCTGGGACTACAGGCATGCACCACCATGCCCAGGTAATTTTTGTATTTTTAGTAGAGACAGGGTTTTGCCATGTTGACCAGGCTGATCTTGAACTCCTGACCTCAGGTGATCTGCCTGCCTCAGCCTCCCAAAGTGCTGGGATTACAGGCATGAATCACTGTGCTCAGCCTGAACATTTTATTTTAGACCTCTACTTTGTTAACATCTAGTCCTTCTGTGTCTTGTAATTTCCTTATGGCTATGACCTCATAGCCTTGCCTCAGCCCTCCTTGTCCTCCTGTCTTTTCTTTTCTCTGTTTAGTAGGGGGAAAATAATCCTTCCTCTACCCTTTTAGGTTCATTGGCTGGGGCCCACAAGTCAAACTAATTAATAGCAGATTAACAGAAGAAGAAAACACTTAATTGGGTAGGTATGCACAGAAGTTCATAAAGAAATGTGAAAGAAGGAGATTAGAATTCAGAACTTATATACTATCTTAACAAAGGGTGATAAAATGTGGAGAAAAAGTTAGACAAGGGAAAAGGAGTTTGGGCTCCTGTGGTGGGGGTAAGTTGTGGGAAGATGTTTAGAAAAATGTATGGTAATTAAGAGTTGTGTAATGAGGTCCGATAAGTCATCTCAGGTAATAAGTGTTGCCGCTAGAACAGTTATCTTTCTGGTACAACACAGGGAGGCACACTTACAACTGGAAATTTATGTTACCTTTACAAACGAAAAAATTTATGTTGTTCTTAGGCAGTTAAGGGGAGAGAAAAATAACTTTTCCTATGTCTGCTTCTTCTCACTTGCCTTCAAGTCAAAATAATTCTCTTGCCAAGTTGGTATATTTGAGATGGCATGTTCTGATCCTCTTCAGTATCCTACTACAATTGAGATACATAAAAATAATTATTTTCATATTTATCATTCATGAAGTACTTTTTGTATGTGAAATGACTTTGAAAGGTGAAAGGTAGGGACTTTGTTTTGCCTTGTAACATTTTACAAACTGAAGCACAGATTTACTGTTTTGCTGAAGGCCACAGACACTGGATTTGAACCTAGATCTATCCTGCTTCAGCTTAAGTTCTTCCCACCCAGTCACTGACTTTCTGATCCGACATCACTGCTTGGCATGTTCATTTATTGATGGAGTTTGTTTCTCCAGTAAACACTGGAAAAGAAAAGTAGCTAAACATTATAACTATCCTTTAAAAACATATTTATATTCAATATTTAATTTTTAAATTTTTTCAGCTCTACAGATTCCATTCCCAAAAAAAAAAAAAAAAAAAAAAAAAGAACGGAAGCACTGAGTTTTAGAGTGATGATAAATCTACATGGTAAAGTTAATGAGAGAGGAGTAGCTTCTCAGCACAGCAATAAAGTGACTTGTTAGAAACAACACTAGACTAAGAGGCAGAAGAAATTGGGTCAGTTTAAGGCCTGGCCCAGAATCTTGACTTTTGGTAAATTACTTAACTCCTTTCTTCTTAAATCTTGAAAATTGCCCACTAAGTTTAGGTCTGGATTTTCTGGCGGCGAAAGTGTACTCATGGTTACTTGCTCCAGGTTGGTTGTCACTTGTCGAACTACTTGAAGTTGCTTTATCTTAGTTTCTGGGTCACAAACGTTTCATTTCTCAGTAACCTACCTCACATATTAGGTGTTAGGGCACTTTTACTATTCTAAACCACTGGTGTTTCCTGAATAGGGATCACCCGGCCATTTCCACATTCAGAAAAGGCCCCATCTTCTTCATCATTTGTCAGAGCCTTTGCTGCTGTGACAAGCCAAGCATACCCTCCTGTGGCCTTCTCTGGGCCTCTCCCGTCTCCCCAGATTGGCTAAGACACCAGTGACTTGAAAGAGAAGCCAAAGGAAAAGGAGAGACACCAAGATGAGACATGAGTCTGGGCCTCCTGCTAAACTGAGAGGAATAGTGTAGGAGAACCGGGTTTTGAACCTTGAGCCCCCTAAGCCTTTGCTATTCACAGTGTGATCCAGGCATCACAGTAACATCACCTGGGAGCTGGTGATAAGGGCTGAATCTAAGGCCCCATCCCACATGTGCTGAATCAGAATCTGCATTTTTACAAGATTCTCAGGTAAATTGTAAGCATATTAAAGTTAAAAAAAAAAAAAACGTCATTGATTAATGAATCCATAGCAACTTTCAAAATTAGCTCTGAGTGGCAAGAAATGTTAAATAGAGCCCCCGTGGAGGGGCATAGGAAAGTTGCTGCCATTGCTGGGAAGGACTTGACTCAGGAAGGAGGGAGCCTGGATCTAATTGCAGTAGATAAATTGACTCAGCTAAAAGCCAGGCGTTCAGGAGGGCAAAGTGGAATGATGTGGGCTTCTGAGGTGAGGCCTTTAACAGTTGGATTATAATGCAATGTGCCATAATGGCATAGTAATGAAATGTAATTTATATGGTTCTGTTATTAAAAGGGACACTTTCTTTGTTCAAGGCTTTCTTCCTTCTTAGAAGGCAGATGGTCACAGGGTAAGGTAATGAGACAAAAGGAACTCATTCCGTAAAATGTCTTAGTTTCTCCTTTGGCCTGCTTTTTGTCTATTTTCAGGTGAGGATCTCCCTCATGTTGGCAACTTTGCCAGGTGAGTGTTCTCCAGCCAAGAACTTCATACTTTAAAATTAGCTGGATACTTAAAGGAGGGAGTGGTAATATGAAGCCAGGTGTCCAAGGGGTCCAGGTGACATAACGGTCCCCAGTCTCATCTCTGAAAGGTCTTGGGGAGTGACCTCCAGTCTGGGGATGACACTCCTGGTGTCAGAGCTGCCTCAACTTTGGAAATTTCTTTGATGGAACCCACAGGATGGGGCTTCATCAAGAAGCTGCTTCTCCATTGCTAAGCTCAGTGCCCACGCCACAGCAACATGATTGCATCCTCCTCCCTGATCACTGGTTTGCTATTTCTTGCTTGATTTCTATTGATTCTTCTACTTTCTTATGTGCTCAGAATTTTCTTTTTGGCCAGGCACAGTGGCTCACACCTGTAATCCCAGCGCTTTGGGAGGCCAAGGCAGGCAGATCACCTGAGATCAGGAGTCCGAGACCAGCCTGGCCAACATGGCCAAACCCCATCTCTACTAAAAATACAAAAATTAGCCGGGCATGATGGTGTATGCCTGTAGTCCCAGCTACTTGGGAGGCTGAGACAGGAGAATCGCTTGAACCCAGGAGTAGGAGGTTGCCGTGAGCCGAGATCATGCCACTGTACTCCAGCCTGGATGACAGGGTGAGACTCCATCTCAAAAAAGAAAACAAAAAACAAAAACAAAACAAACAAACAAAAAACCAACTTTTTTTTTCTTTATTAGCTCTTCACCAGCTTCTTTCTCACCAGTACTTTTCACCTGCCTTCAGAAAAATAAAGTAAAAATTTGAAATGGCACTTACCCTGGAAAAATTGTTGTATCTTTCTCATTGATCTTATGACAATTTTAAAAAAGAAAACTCTCAAGGCTCCTACAGTATGATACATATACTAAATGTAAAGGTAAACAAAGCAATGAAAACTCTCCTAAAAGGAAGGTGATGGGAGGAGGAGATAATTGTGATAAAAGTTAAGGTTGGCCTGAAGGTGTGACTAAATGGCACAGTAAGTTTAATGCTGGATTTCTGGCAGCCAAAGGTGTGCCTATGCTTACTTATTCCAGCTGAGTGGGCACTAGACAAGCTTCTCGAAGATACTTTTACTTGATACTGAGATTACCATCATCAATAATATTTTTGAGTGCAAGAAATTTACTAGGCCTAGGCACTTGCTAACATGTTTGCATGCATTATCTTACCTAATTCTCATGCTATCATTAAGAGATCGGATAGAGTAGTAGCTCCAAGTGTGAACTCCAGAGTCAGGGAGCCCAGGTTGGATCTTAGCTTTGCCACTCGCAGGCTATGTGATCTTGGGCTGGTCCCTTACCCTCTCTCCTCCATAAAACAGAAATATCAGTCATACCTTAAAATGGCTGGAGACATTAAATGATTTAATATACACAAAGCATGCAGTGTCTGGCTCTTAGTAAGTACTTGCTATTATTATCATTATTTCTATTTGACAGATAAGGAAATTGGGTCTTAGAGAGGTTAAGTGGCTGGCCCAAAGTCCCACAGCCATATCAAATTGGCAGCAGATCTAATTTGATCCCCTCTTAACCACTTCACATGCTGACTCAGAAGCTTTGGGCTGCTCTTGGCAACCTCTTGGGTGCAAATAAGAAATTCCTCAGTATTCTCCTTGAGCAGTCAATGTTCCATTATCTTTGGTGAGAGTTTCTCGTCTATGGATTATCTTCAGGGAACTTCTTCCAGGTGTTTGGCTTGGTGAGTCCACTGGGATAGTGTCTATTTTCAATGCGACTTTAAGTAAAGTTTAAATAATGTGGGAATTGCATTAAACATTATAGTGTGTATTTGTTTATCTATGGATTCTATTTATTTATATTTATTCTGAGCCACCCATCTCTTCCCAAACACAATTGAAAATAGCAGAAATTTAAGTCAATTGCTACTACATTTAAAGTCCACTTCAATGTCACATCCCCTAGAAAGATGCCTTCCTTGTTTTTTCCCATGATCTCAGAATACACAGGTCTCTCTAGACCTGGGTAGTGACGTTGAGGTCCAATGTGGCTGTATTTCCCCCACTGCCCACCAGGTGTCCCACCGGTCCCTGCTATCTGACAGGCAGCAGGAAAAATGGCCATCTTCACCCCTCCAAAAGGTTCCCAGGATTTGAAGGCGGATGGTGGAGAGATTGTGGGGAGGAGGGAGGGAGGCTATGACGAGACTCCCAGATGCTGCTTCTTGTCCCCAGACAAAGAGAATTTTTCACATTATTTTTCTTTGATGTGTAGGTGTCTCTCCAGAAAGCCCAGCCAGTTCCCTGCAATTTAGGAAGCTTTTATTTCCACTAATGAACTGGTGTCTGGCCAGGGCTTTTCATCTCTGAGCTTGAGGTTGGGGCTGCTGTCTGCCTCCTGTTCCTTTTGCCTGAGAGACCCTGACAGCCTCCCTTCCCTCCTCGGCCTCTCCTTTTTCTTCCAGGGGCTGAGTGAAAAAGAGACAAGAAAGAGACTGCCCCTTCTGCCTTGTAAGTTTCCTCAAATATCCCCTGAATCAAGGGAGTACCAGCATGTGACTGTGGCACTAACTAGCCCTCTTGCCCACATTAACCTTATTTGTCCAGATTACTAGTGTTACTGTGGTAGAAATATTTCCTCTCTGCTCTTAGGTAAGACTGTCATTTGCTTCTCTTGCAGTGGGGAGTAAGGGAATTTGGATCCACTGACAAAAATTTAGTAAGTGGGGCATTTTAAATTTCAAAGTAAATCTGTCTCCCTTTGCAGTTCGTTGGCTCCTTGCCTGTCATCAGTACTTGCCTTTTTTTCCTCCCACTTTTCTTTTGGAGGATCACATACAAGTTGGGGAGGCTGCTCCAAAGCCACATGGTCTCTCAGATATTGCCAGCTGTACTGGGACTCTCTGGAGTCCCTTGTCCATCACCACAGGTCACCCCAGCAGAACCTGGGCATCTACCATAGACCTGAGGTGTCCAAATTGGGGCAGTGCTCCAAGCGGTCTGCAAACTGGTGCCCTGATTATAGGTTATTCTGTGATTGAAGTTTCACCTAGAGATCGGCTGAGAATGTGAATGGGATGTCTGCATTTAGCATCAGGTTTTGGAGCTTTGATGTGGGCTATTTCCTCCCGAAGGGCCTTGATAACAAAGACCACAGCACAGTCCTGTGGGAGTTTCTAGCTTCTGTACCCACTGCCTCATTATATGCATGGCTTTTAATATTTGGAGAGCCTTTGCCAATACACATTTTCTCGTGTACTGGGAAACTGGAGCCCGGATGCGATATATTATTGATAGGATTGTAATTTACTCCTCTTGGGTTGTATCTACAGTGTATACCATTAGCACAAAATATTAAATTACCAGTGGTTGTATATATTTGTCTATCCAGGTTTGGCTCAATGATATTTGCCTTTTGCCTCAATAAAAGATTGTGAATAATGAAAGCAGGGTAATATTATTTTGTTGTTGTTGTTGTTGCAAGGGAATTTTGATGAAACCATTTTCTCTGTGTTGTGTTTTTGGCGAGTCATGCTTTGCAATGAAGACATGAGACATAAAAGAGTGGGGGTTGGACATAGAAGATGGATGAGCAGCTTGCTCCAGCTCTGGGCACACACTGGCTTCCCTGGCAAGCTGCTCTGGGCCAGGCTTGGGGCTTTCTTTTTCTGCAAGAGGGAATAAGCAATCTGTGCTGCATTGGTGGGAGGAAGTGGGCAGTTCAGACCTTGGTGCCAGAAATACCAAGCCCTGTGCCTCTCTTGTGAAGATAGCATTTGCATGGGACTTTGGGTGTGGGGGAACCCAACAGCACATCAGGTAGAACCTTTTGTAGTCACAGCATTGTGCCCTGGCTAGTGTTTGACAGTCTACCCTCTGGTCACCATTGTTGGCCATTTTGGTTCCTGCCTCCACCTGGGCCAGGTGGCACATAAATACACAAGCACTTATCTCCTATAAAAAGATTCCAGGTCATAGGGCTCAAACCAAGCTGCAAATAAAAGTGCCACATCGTGTCTGTCGTGTGCTTTTTGTTCTGATCTCAGGGCTTGTTTCAGACCTTGAATGGGAGGTGTTTGCTGGTTAACTAGGAGTTTGCTGGACAAACAGCACCCCACAGTTGGATTTGCTACGCAATTTTTATGAGTAAACATGTTTTTAAAAAATGCCTGTGGCTTGGCTTCTTCATCCTTTTGTTGCCTGTGGGTCTTGGAATGAAGGGGTGGGGGTGACAGAAACTAGGTTTTAAATCTGTATTAACTTGACACAGAAAAATATTTTGGAGAAAGGTTTATTCCTTTTAGTTCCTGCTGGCAATCTGGGACCCTCAGGGGTCAAAAACCAGGGAAGGGTTGGGGGAAGGTGAAGAGACCTATCCCCCTCAGAGGTCACTGGCTGGGGGGCAGGGCTTGGCCATTCAAGTGATCGGTATCCATCTGCAAAGCTGGAATCTCCTTTAGAGTGAGCTCCTAAGAAAAACACCACTCAGCCAAGGAGAGCTATTGTATTTTGCTGCCTGGGGCACATTCTGGAGGTGAAAACCGGTTTTTCTGAAGACTTGTCAGGGCCAGGCTTTGTTCAGAATCTGCCAATTTAGCCAGACTGGCTCCTTAAAGGAGACCCCTTTACCTGAGGCAGGGGCCAATTATAAAAAAGGCTTGTGGATGGCATTCCCTTCATAACTGGGTTGGACTTCCTTCAGACTTAGGAACTTTCTCTTGTTCCACACCTTCTCCTTCCTTAAAAAGGAGAAACATGGAGTAACACACACACACACACACACACACACACACACACACACGCACACCCAATCACACTGAATTGTAAAGAGAATGAAATCAGTGCTAAATCTATCAAAGCGTATCATAGACCCTGACAGCTGAGAGGTATTATTTGCTTTTTTCCTCCCAGATTTCTACCGAGCCTGGTGTTTTAAGCTATGTCTTGGGGAGAAGAGACCCATAGAAAGGCAATTACAATTGGTGAATGATTAATGTTGGATCTGACATTTTTATGTGTCAAATATGTTTAACTGCATTAACCTTTGCAGAATCTACACCCATACTATGAGATATATCTTGTATAGCATCGGAAATATCTGCAATCTGCCTTCACTTAAATTTTATTTACATTTACTTTATTACAATATAAATAGGTTTAAAAAATCTTTAATAGAGTGTTTTTACCCCATTCTGCAAGTTCTGCTTGCTCTGTGGGGAGTCTAAGGGCAGCAGGGTTCCTTGCTGATTGCAAATAGTGTCCCAGCCACCTGCCTGGGGACCCTAAAGAGAGAGGAAGCCAGTGTCAATTTTTCAAGTTCATGTCTCAGTTTTAGCCTAAAGGGGAGGTGGCTTAGAAGGCCGGGAGTTGGCATCCGATGGTATAAAACATAGAGGCAGAGAGGCTTTTCAGTAGACAAGCAACTTTTAGTTTTTACAAGTTACAGAAAACGCAAATTTTCATAGCATCAATTTTAGAAAAGAAAGATTAAGGTTCCCATCTGCGGTGCTTTTTCCAATCTGCCCATCACCCGTCCCTCTGAAGAAGCACGCACACTCCAGATGTCTCCTTCATTGATCACATTTCTCTCTGGCTGTCTCTATTCCTAAGTCAGAGTTACTCTTGCTGCTGCTGCTGCTGCTGCTGCTGCTGCTGCTGCTGCTACGGTGGTGGCGGCGGCGGTGGTGGCGGTGGCTGCCGAGGCCTCATGGTTGTCAGCTCCATGCCTCCTGAACTTCACTCCACTGAAATCTGGTTGGGTATGAGACAGACTCCGGTGGAATGAAGGACAAGAGAAGCACATGGATTGTCTGAGGATCTTTTTCTCAGAGGGTGGGGATGCATGTCAACCTCAGCCTGTAGACACTGCATTACCTGGCCAAAGGCCTTTGGCATCCCGGAATCACACATTTGGGAGATGTCAAGGACCTGAATACTCCTACCCCTCCCATAGGATCACATCCTCCAAGGAGGCTGCAGAGAGCTAGTTCAACACGTCCTTGCACCTGCTGCACAGACAGACAGTGCTGAGTTGGGGAGGTGGGTCTGTGGGGCCAGGGACTCTTGACTGTTTCTCGTTTTCAAAACAGCCACCCAGATAAGTCCATGTGGAACCTCCTCTGTGTTTACCTAGTTGGGATGTCGGTCACCCTCTCCCTTTGTCTAGGTCCCACTGTGTGTGCCATAACTGAGCTCGGTGTGGTTGGTCCTTTCTAGAGGAAACAAAGAAAAAGCAGGTGTTCTGCAATTGCTTTAGAAAAATCCAGCTACTCTGAGCTTGCTTACCAAGGCCTTGGAATGCAGGGGCATGGGCATTCCTCTCCACAAGGCACTGTCCAAAGAGCACGAAGAGCACTTTGCAACCCCGTTTGCCAATGTGAAATCCAGAAGAGATAGGTGAGGAGCTCAGGAAAAACCACAACTCCTGGCTGGAGCCAGGCCCATTCATGGGGGTGGGTGGACAGAGGAGGGTAAGACTCCTTGTTCTCACTCCTAAAGACTTATCTAGGAAGGACAGCCTCCAATGGCCCCACATCCTCCCCAAGATGTGCCTGGAAAATGATTCAACTATTTCTTTGTTGGTCATGAGGATGGAGGATTTAGGGAGGAAGAAAGCAAGCTAACCTGGCTTTCATAGACTGAGTCAAATAGGAAGGACGCAAAGTATCTAAGAGTTTTCTGCTCTGTCTTAAAAGAAATGCCCATCAACCCTTTGCGTGCTGTTGCTGCTCTGGCCTCTTCCTTGTTGTGTTCAGACATGCCCATGGCTCAGTGCAAGCCCCATAAAAGGCTGTTCTCAGCACCAACATGCAGGCTGGATGGGTTGGGGCAGATGCACCTTGTTGTTTGAAATACTTTCTTCCTGGGGCTTGTTCTGACCCGAAGCAGGGAGGCAGTTTCTCGTATGTGGCTCCTCCCCACGCATCTAGCCTTCTGGGCATTGGGTCTCTCTGAAAAAGGCCCTTAAGCAAGGGCTTGAGGTTTCTAGCTAGTGCTGAGAAGGAGTCACACTCTCCTTGGTCTGAATGTAAAGACTCTTTGCCAGGGTGAACACGGGGCTTGTTGGCAGGCAGAGATCTGGGTAGTGAGGGGAAGAAGACTGGTTCATCTTCTCCTGCTCTGCCTTCTTGATAAACACTCACAGTTCTCAATAATGAGAGGAAAATGCACCCTGCTTGTGAATTATCTGGACCAGATCCTCCTCCTGCACCGCCTTTGACCCATTCCCAGTCAAAGGGAAGAAAGAGGCCAGTCTGTTGGCTGTAATAAATAAATGATGGCCTGGGATGGTAGGAGGAAATGATGCCAGGAAGGCAAGATTCTTTGCCTTCTCTTTAGATTTCTGCTTAACTCCAAGAGCAAAAGGGGCAGTCAATTCTTCTCCCTCCAGACCCTCGGCACCCCGCTCTTCCCCTCCCAACATGTACAGTCCACTAGATTATTAAAGTCCTCACTCTGGAGTGTGCAGAGAGCCTCACCCTCATGTGGGGTCCGTACCCTCCAAGATGGGTACTTGAGAGATGACAGTGTCTGCAAAAAGCAAATGGGAGGTGGCATTAATGTCAGAGAGCCCCAGAAAGGTGAGTTCTTTCCTTATCACTCTCCCCTTGCTTTACAGACCTGTAGCTGCTACAGGCAGAGACAAAAAACCATGAGTCACAACCTGTATCAGGAGACTTGACCTGCTCTGGACTCCTTGTTCAAGATTCTTCTGCCCACTATGCCTTTGCCAACTGAATCCCCCAGTGGCCTTCACCATGGTTACATGGGTCTAGAGCCAAGCACATGCACGATCAGAGAACAAACCATGCATGGGCTCGCTACAGGGTAAGTCCATCCAGTGACCACTTTCTTCCCCCCAGCTGCCCTCAGGATTACGTCCCAAGTGTCTTCATAACATTAAAACCAACTTGAACATGAGACTCAAAGAATGAAACCACGTCCTAAATTTTCCAGTACAGGTGCACCCTGCACCCCAGGACTGAAAAACCAGCCAAATCTCTGTTCTTCTAGTTGAGTAAATCTCCACAAAACCAGACAGAGCTACAATCTTGGTGCTTAAACTGCTCAGCACCCACCTTATCACACCAATTCCTATTATCAGCAGAATTTACTGCCTGGGATCCCTGGAAATCCTTGAGAAAACACCAAAGTGGCTGAGGATTGGTTTAAAATGCAGCAGGTTCAGCTATTTTAGCCTTGGAGGAAGTTGATAATTGACTTGCAGTGAATATGGCATTTTCCAGTCTCCTCTTCCTGCCCAATGAGCCCCCTGATCTAGCCACTCATCTTTGTTTTTCCAAAGTTCCCCAAATCCACAGATTTCAGACTCACCTTTAAGTACGAGTACCTGTGCCTTGAGACATCAGGACCTAGCTTTGAGTTTGCTTCAAAATAAGAATTTTTTTTTTTTGTCATAAGATAATGCAGAACAGAGAGATGGCTACAGCCATGCAGATGAGAAGAAGAAAAGAAATTTCAAATCTTGGATGTTTCTTTTGCCCCTAAGGCTTGAGGACAGGGAACAAAAAATGAGAAACACTTACCCTATATAAAGCACCCAGTTCAGCAGGCCTGTGCGGAACAGAAATGACTCCTGAGGAAAGGTGGGGGCCGGTCCTGAATAGTTGATTTCTCTCTTTAATGAAAAAGAACATGAGGCCGGATGCGGTGGCTCACGCCTGTGATCCCAACACTTTGGGAGGCCGAGGCAGGTGGATTGCTTAAGCTCAGGAGTTCAAGACCAGTCTGGGCAACATGGTGAAACCCCGCCTCTACAAAAAAATACAAAAAATTAGTCAGGCGTGGTGGTGTGCGCTTGTAGTCCCAGCTACTTGAGGGGCTGAGGCAGGAGAATCGCTTGAACCTGGGAGGTTGAGGCTGCAGTGAGCCCAAGATTGAGCCACTGCACTCCTGCCCGGGCGACAAAGTGAGACCCTGTCAGAAAAAAAAAAAAAGTAAGCAGAGGAAAGTGGAATTGAAGGAGAGGGAGTAAAGGTAGCTGGAAAAGAGAGAGTTTGGAGTATGGTTGAGAATTGAGCTGAATTTTTAGAATAGAGATTAGTAACAGACAATAAAAGAGAAACTGGTTTTTCCAAGTCAAGGGTGAGCAAGAGGGACTCAGCCCATTTCAAGGAGGTGGTACTAGTTTCACTCTTTATTTATGCACCTCTCAGCAAAGCTTCAGGTTACCTGCTGAACTCAACCAATGGAGAAAGGGCCTGGCAGCTGGTCCCACCTCTCAGAACCCACACCCCTGGGGGACCATGAATGGAGAGGTCTTTCTGCAGGCTACCCGTACTTTCTCATTGTTGTGTGAACACCAGAAAAGGGAAGTGAGGTCTTTGTCATCCCAGAGTTGGAGAGACACTGCAGGTTATCTGAGCCTTGCACCTGAAGCCTTAGTCCTCCCAGAGACCTACCTAATCGGGGAGAGGGGAATGCTAAGATTTTATCTTGTCCTAAGGAAGCTGAGTGTTTGTGTGTGTGTGTGTGTGTGTGCGCGCGTGTGTGTGCGCGCTTGCTTGCTTGAGCTTTTAGCCTGACCTGAGTTGCTGTCTCTACACAATGCACTTCGGGAATCCAGCAGAGATAGGCCAGTCCATCCAGGCAGAGCTGTAGAAAGAGGCCGGAGGGTCACAGTCGAGGCCCAGCCAGAGGCTTATCCTGGCATTTAGTACAGAGTAAGTCTGCTGCTCCCCTTGTGAGAAGCAAGTGTTTCTTTTATAATCCGAAAGGCTTTGTGACCTGCTTCCCTTTCATGTCTGGGGGTGGGGAAAAGACCACACTGCGAGGGGAAATTAAGGAAAGAGAAGGCAAGCTCATTAGTAACTTTAAAGAGGGCGGTCTATAAACTTGATTATTTTACCCCACCCCCGCTTCCATGCGCAACTTGGGCTCCGCCTCCTGCCCCTCCCCTATCTCTCGGCCCATCTTGCCAGCTTCCCCCTCCCTCGTTCCCCCTTCCAAGTGCACACCTGGAGGGCAAGGGAAGTTGAAGTCTCCTCAAATGTGCCACATTTCACCCAGGATCCTGGCCTGCTTTCCATTTGTTCTCCAGGTAAATCTAGTGTGCAGCGAAGGCAGATTCCTCTATTCTCCAG
The DNA here is from genome assembly GCF_000001405.40 of Homo sapiens. NCBI lineage: Eukaryota > Metazoa > Chordata > Mammalia > Primates > Hominidae > Homo > Homo sapiens. Next base: position 209,427,851 of record NC_000001.11, on the reverse strand, counting down.
CGGAAGGGAGGGAACTGAAGAATCCAATCTATAGGACCTCTTAGTGCAGTCCTGTCCCACAGCCCTTCATGGAACTGAATCATGCCTGCCCAAAATCTCCCTAGAAATCAGCTAATCTAAACTTCTTACCGCATAGACTGGGGAACAGAAGTTTTGAAAGGTGAATTTCTGTCTTGCACAGCCAGTGCAGAGTCAAGATTCTAATCTACCTGGATCTCCCAAACCCCATTTAAAAGCCCTTTAAAACAAACCCTACACGTTGTTTTCCCCGGTTCTGGCGGACCTGAAGCTTGTCTGAACTATTCTGGATTCTTCCTGGGAGAAGAAAAGCCTCCACTGGTGAAGAAGAAAAACCAATACAGACCAATAGGAGGAGGGCAGGGAGATCTTCCACGTGATAGCTTCCTTAAGCACCGGACTCCTCCCCTAAACCGTGGAGCTCATGGCTTCCCTGCTGACTGGACCCAGTTTGCCTACACTGAGCCTCAGCTCTCCCATTTCCCAAAAAGTAATGCAGGCAGAGAAGCGAATTGTTCCTGGCCACAGTGATACACCCACATTGTGTGCTGAAGACTCTGGGCCCCCTTCTGACCTTTCCCTGCTCCCTCTCTCCCTCTTCCTTCCAGAATAGCATTCATTCATTCATTCACTTACTCACTCTCCCCATCACGTATCATTCCATGAGCATCGACTCTGTGCCAGGTGAGTGAGAGGCTGCGTTTACCCCCTAGGAGCTCCCAGCCTAGATGGACATCTACAAGAAGAGGCAAAAACATAGGCCAATGAGGAAAAACATGATGAATATCCCCCACAAAGGGAACTGCCGCATTTGTCTGTGAGATTCAGGGAAGGCTCTACAGACAGAGTGACATATTGGAACTGAATCTGAAAAAATGATGGCGGGCTGAGTGTGATGAAGACCTGCGAAAATTCAGGCCTTGAGGGAGGAGCTCTCACATGTTCAGAGCAGCCTGGGGTGCCGGGGACTGGAGAGCGCAGCCATCTTGTGATGGGCCTGTGGATTTCATTCACAGGTCAGGAAGCTCCGGAAGTCTCGAGACAGGGAATGAATGGACCAGAACTGTTTTTCAGAAGCCAGTTAGGACTGGAGGCAGAGCAACTGACTGCTGAGGAATATGACTGCCCCCAAAATATAGGGGAGAGGAGGGTAAGGAGGAGTGCCTAGGGCAGACGATATCAATAGTCCTGCTGGTCATATTCTGTCCCCTTGAGGGTTCATCTTTGACCTCTAAATTTGTTCAGAAAAATGGGATAAACCTATAGATTTATTGATTCTATATCCATCCAATACAGTAAAGAAAGACGACCTGCCCAAAATTATTATTATATTTTCTTCCCTTCAACTTCAGTCACCACAGCCCAGGAGGATGCTCTGTGGACTGACTGGACACTGGTTGGTGTGGAAGGTCTAGAGGGTGGGGGAAGCATATCTGGGTGGCTCTGCTGGAAGTTTCTTCTTCCAGCCCCTCAGCCTGGCTCTTTGTTCCAGAGTCAGCTTGTGAGGCAAAAGCCTTGATGTCCCTCTTCCCCTAGGTTTCTAGTTCCGTGTCTCTGAGAGGCATTCCGCAGAGTCATCCAGGGTGGTGCTGTGCTTGCCTGAGTGTGTCTGGGGTACAGGAGATGGAGATGGGGAGTGGAACAGCGTAGTGTGGTTGGAAGGGGAGGATACAGGGCTTCCTTCCGTCTCCACTGAAGAGTAGCCATGGTAACCGTGGTTTACTCACTTTGGCTGATCTTGGGCCTCACCTTTTGTTTTCATGCACTGTATGCCCCCTTGATCCTCATTTCTCCTCCCCCTCAACTACCCCAGCCAGAGTTCCTCTACTGTTAGAAGTTCTTGGTCCTCACATGCATTTCTGGCTCCTGAAAAGACTCTGCCATTCTCTCTGCTCAAATTTCCAGCCCCAAAACTAACTGCCACATCTTCAGTTTTTGAAGAAAAAGATAAAAGACCTGAAATTCTCCAAAGTGTTTTAACACGTGGTTAGCATTAGAGTTAGGTATGGGTCTCTCTGACTAAATTCTGCTTATAAGCTCATCTAACTTTGCAGCTTCCCCTCCATGCCTAGCACTGTGCCTGAGGTCTTCAATAAAGGTCTGTTGAATCAACCGCGGTTATTTCTATAGGGGAAGAACACCAAAAGATAAGCTACCTAGGTTCCACTGCACAACATTTGGAGTGGACTGGACTCTTGGGGGTGAAACAGTAAGGACAGTGTGTTGTAGGGAAGCAGTGTGTTCCCAGGAAGCTGCTGGGGACATCAGGGTCCATGACCATAATGGGGATGGCCCTTGGGGTGCCTGTAGACTGGAACTTCATCACCAGCCTTCTCCTGATCCAGGTTTACAGCTTTGTTACATGTATTGAGGAGCTGGGAGGACCTCTCCCTGAGACATTTCTTGGTTAGGATCCAGAACTGGGAAGTATGCATGCTACTCTTTCAGCCACTGGTCAGGGTCTACACAAATGTAGAGTGGGGGAAGATGTGATTTGACAGCACTTATAAATAGAAAAAAAAAACGGCCGGGTGTGGTGGTTCACTCCTGTAATCCCAGCACTTTGGGAGGTCCAGGTGGGTGGATCAAGAGGTCAGGAGTTCAACACCAGTCTGACCAAGATGGTGAAACCCCGTCTCTACTTAAAATACAAAAAATTAGCCGGGTGTGGTGGCGGGTGCCTGTAATCCCAGCTATTCAGAAGGCTGATGCAGAGAATTGCTTGAACCCGGGAGGCAGAGGTTGCAGTGAGCTGAGATTGCACCACTGTACTCCAGCCTGGGTGACAGAGCAAGACCCCACCTCAAAAAGAAGAAAAAAACCTTAGGATGTGAGCTGATGGTAAGTTTCGTGGGACTCAGTGGTGTGATATGGCTACCAAAAGAGCACATTCTTTCTTTGATTGCATCATTAGAAATATGAAACAGAAAATAAAGGAGATGGGAGATAATAGTTTTACTCTACTCTTCACTGATCATATTATACCTGGTTATTACATTGATTTGTGGGCTCCACATTTTAAGAGGGGTCAATACAAACCTGAAGGAGAAAAAAAAAAGTGAGCACAGAGGACACAGGCAGGCAACAACAACAGCAGAAACTGTGATGATTCTGGAGTCAATACAGTCTGAAAGAGGCAAAATCTCCACCCAAGGAGTAAGTGGAAGGACCAGGCAGCTTATCACCTCCTACTCCCAGACCTTGCACACACCCAGGTAGTGCAGAACACCAATCTGAACAAGTGGGGCCAAAGGCCTAAACCCAAGTTCATAAAGCAAACCCAGGCCCCTTCCTCCCACCTTGAATGCACCTCTGCTTCCACTTCATTGCATTTCTTCCGTTGATTCACTCAGTGTAAGTGTTGTCCAGCCAGAAGTTGAGTTTGGTGTGGTCATCATTAGCCAGGTCTCTGCAGATTGGCTGTTTCCTGAAGCCACACCCCGACCCTGCACATAACATGTGTGATCTGTGCGTACCTCTGTAGCACATCGTATTGTAGTTACTGAGTTTTTGTTTTTCTCTTTTACTAGAGTGTAAGCTTTTTAAAAGAAAAGAAAGCCCGATATTCCTAGTACCTAGCATGTAATAGGTGCTCAAAAACCATTTGTTGGCTGGGTGAAGATGAAGACAGGCCTGAATGGGAGATGTGAGCCTCTGTTGATGAGGAGACTTGAGGTCTGGGTTTAATACTCCTCCCCTTCACTCTCCTGGTTCCTCTAGACGCCAATGTGGATCAGTACCTGTCTCAGATCTTCAGGAGCTATCCCTTGATGTTTATTTACTCTAGGGGATCTGATAGATCTGACAGCTCACTGCCCACTGCTGTATTTCTGGGGTGGGGCTGGAGGCCCCTCATTTTCATTTTCTGAGATGGGCTTATTCTCTGGAGAGTGTAGAGAGAGTGATGCAAGTTGAAGCCTGCCGTTTACATTCCCCTCTCCCTGGCCCCTTCCACCCCCACACCTCCCCCTCACCCAGGCCTAACCTAGTCCTTCAAGTGAGGAAAAAACCCCAGGGCCTACCTTTCTCCTCCCCCTGCTGAAGATAGAAAGGGGAGCCCAGGGGACATTGTAGCACTTGAAAGCAGTCATTTTGTCTTTAGCTCTGCTACTCTGGCCATTCCACGCATTTATCAGCGCCTATAAAGCACCACAACAATTTCTCCAACTTGCCTGCAAGCCTTCTGGGATCAGGGGACTTCTGTCTCCACTGAGAATGCTTGTTTGGGTTCTAATTTTTCTAAATTAACATCCGAGTACCATCTTAGGAAAGCAGAGGGTTTGGTTGGGGGAGAATTCTTAATAGAAGAAGCTTTGATAAGTCGAAACAGTTCATGTTATTAAACACTCCAGAGGGAGATCCAGAAGCACTGAACTGGGGGTAGTTTGCACCTTCAGTCCTTAACTCGTGGCTGTCTTGATTTGGGGAATTAGATTAGGAAAATTTGGAAAATTACAGCCTGCGGCAACTGCAGAAGAGAGACAGGTAGCGTTTGTTAATTTGCATCTTCACCTAATATTTATTGAGTGCTTATTATGTGCCAGGTATTCTACCAGGTGCTGGAGATAATAGAAAACTAAGTCCCTGCCCCTGAACACAAACACTTTCCAGATTTTCCAGTGGGTGTGGGGAGGGAGGCAGCTAGGTGACAGGTGCTGCAATAGGAAGGGGCAAGTGCAATAGTCATCCCCCCTGCCCCATGAGAGGCTCTGCAGGAGCCCATAAGGAGGAGCCCTATAGAGAGGAGCCCTATAGATCAGGACAGCTTCATGGAGGAGGTGACACCTAGTTGAACTATAAAATGTTAGAGGAAATGTGCCAACTGGAGAAAGGAGCAAATTCGATGTGGGGACTTCTTTGGGATAGTAGGTCTGAGTTGGAATGAGCAGGGTTGACTTCTTCCTAAGTAAAAGTTTTAAAAAATGCAAGCTCCACTCTGGATCACTGGGCAAATACTGATTTACCACCTGGGGGGCCTGGAGTGAAGGATGGAAAGGGGATTGAAGGAGCCCACACTGCCTCTGAGGAAAAAATCTAAGCCAAACTCTTCTTCATCATCTTTGCAAGATGGATCTATGCAAGTAATCACGTTTGGCAATCTCTGTTGGCTGCTTCACCAAGTTTTTTTGTATGTTTCATGAGATACCAGTTAGAGTTTGCTAAATAAAGAGGGAAGATTGGCAGGAGAGGGGCAAGTTTTAAAGGGGAAAAAATGACCACTGAGCTTGTAGAGGCAGGCAGACTGTGAGGCCACCAGGCTGCTTAGCTCAGTACCAGGGAAAGCTGGTGTGTGTGTGTGTTTGCACATGCACACATGTGTGCACGCAGCTAGTTTCAAGTTAATTACAATGCCAGAGTATTTCAGCCTGGCTTGCCTAATAGTCACACAAGGGAGATTATGTGGGCCAAATGGATGAGGTAGGAAGAAGGGGAGAGTTGGGTAGTTGCAAAACTTTTATATGAAAGGTTCCTAACAAACACTTGGTAAGCTGCTGGAGGGGAAACAAACCAAGTTTGGGCCTCTCTTCTCATACCTGCAACCCTTAGACAAAGCAATTCGAAACCTAGATCTTCAGTTGGAGAATCATTTTGGGGCTCACAGTGCAGGTCTCTGCTCTCAGAACGTGCTGACAGGTGCCAGCTCATCCATTCTGCTGGAGTCCTGGAGAAGTGAGCTTTGGTGCTGAGTTCAGCAGTTCTGAGCAATACAGCAATAAAGCAGTCACAGAGCTCTGTCGCTGCAGCAGAATGGGATAATCCTACAATTTAATAAGTAGGAATATGCAGCAGGACTTAGGCAAATTGTTTGTAGGTGATGAGATTGTCATCCCCTCCTGGGCCGGGAGAGAAACATGTGAGGAGTTTGGGGTTTGAGAGCTGGGAAAGAAGAGGACCCAGTTTCAGCCTTCACTCTGAGATTTGCTTTTGGAGGACTAGGAGGACCTTTGGCCTAAATCTATTTATTGTCATTTGAAACTTAGAATGGGAGGAGCTAGGGAAGAGATGCTCATCGCTTTTACTGAACTGGAATGAAAAGGGTGTTGGGCAGCGGAACTCTTCTGGGGCTGGGGGTGATGGGGGAGAGAGCAGATTTGGAGACAATAGGATTAGGTTTGAGTCCAGACTCCATTAATTACTAATTATGCAATTTAGTCATCATATGGACTCCAATGCTCTGCTTCCTCCTCTGTCAAAGGGGCATAATTGCAACGCCTGATAACACATGAGGGCATCCCCCAAAAGCTATGAAGAGCTTCACAGTCATCATGAATGTTTATCACAACTGAGATTCCAAAATGGTAAAATGCAGAAGCTTCTGGGTGTTCCTGGTTTCCGGGTTCACTGTTGGGTGCTGAGGACCTGGCTGGAATTCCCCTAGTTTTCCTCAGCCCAATCCGGATGCTGACTGCAGCTAACTAATACCTGCTTGTGAGAGTCAGTTGTTAAAATTCCAGGAAACAGCTTGCCATCTGGTTGTTGAACATGTTGGTAGCTTGAAATCAGCCGTGGTGAGAAAGCTTATACTACGCTACAAAACCAGAGTGTTCCTGAGAGCCAGTTGTTAGGCATTCACCAGCACACCTGACCCAACTTTCCCCCTCCATTGGTTCTCCCTGTTGTGTGAAATGTCCAGGCTTCCCCAGGGCCAGCTGTCAGCCACTTTGCTCCTCAATAATACAGCATCCTGGGGCAGGGGCTGCTGAGGCACCGGCGGGTCTCTGATTCTGGTCCCACAACCACAACTCCAGTCTCACAGGGCTGCCTTCTGTTCCTCAGAGATGCCGTCTAGTGTTTTGTCAATCTATGTTTTGTCATACTCCTGCCTCCATCCAGAACATTCTTCTGAAATGCTACCTAATAGTAAGCCCCTGGCCCCCCTTCCTGGTCTCTGCTCACATGGCTCCATGCAGGCCTCCCGGCCCTGGTGCTGCTCTGTGTGGCAGAAAGATGGGTGCCGCTGTTTCCCTGGCTAGGCTGTGCCTGCCTTCAGAGGTGGGCTGGAGTCCACTAACCATCTCAGTGCTTCTCCTACTATTATTAGGCCAGCATTTTTCTCATATTTTGCTCCTGTAATCCTCACGGCACAGACTTTTTCAAATGAGCAAACAGAGGTTGAATAACTTGTATGAGGTAACATAACCAGTAAGTATTCGAGTCTCCATTTGAAAAAAGAGGTTTTTTGGATTCCCCAGGCTAGGGATTTTACCCCTCCCCTCCCCATTCCATTTTCAGACTCAGCCATTTCTCTCTTTCGTACAGAACCTAGCAAAACAGGCTGCACCACGGCATGGATTTAATACCGCTTAGTGAATTAACTAAAACTTCCCTTCTTTTCAGTCATGTATTTTGTAACAAAAATGAAATGGGGATTAGAGAGGAATTAGAGCATGATATTACTTCTGCAAAATCAACACTGTTCTCAGTGAAAGCCTGAGAATATTTAACCTCAGTAGGCACGATGCTAGGTGTTCTCTTCTGAGTGAAACCTTGAGTTTTTGCAAAGGCAATTGAAAAGGTTTCAGCAGAAGAATAGACATGCCCTTGGACTTTCAGCAAAAGAATATTATTTAACAAAAATTTCAGTTATAACATTGCACACATCAAACCTTTTAAGCTTTAGTAGGCTCTTCTGCTTCTTATTCCTATTATAACCAACAGAAACAATTTACAATCTCCCTCAAATTTGAGGGCCATAGGTCCATGTGAGAATGGAAAAATGGATAAGTAAGTAGGCTCTTTCACAATGAATGAGAGATATTTGTAATAGCTTTTCTTGTAATTTCTGATTTAAAGCTTAAAAAATCTGGACGCCCCCTTCCCACTCACACTCAAGAAAAAAATATTAAAAGTAGGAAATAGTAAGAATGTAGAAATGATAATTTCCTATTTCTCAACAGACCTAGTGCTTAATCCTATTTGGACTTGGAAATACGAGCCCACTCATTTTCTGGCCGGGTTTAAACAAAATAAGAGACATCTCCCTATGCCTGTCTTCTTTAAATCCATAAGTGAGCCAACGCCACTCAGCAGTGAAGGAGCTTTCAGTGGGTTGTCCTCTGATTGAAAATCAAGAGCCACATGTGTCTTCTTTCCCATGAAGGTTCCGCCAGGACAACAGTTGGTGAAATTACAGGGGTACCTCTGGCCAGCGTTTTGAAGAACTGTGGTGTTCCTATTCTTTCCCAACTAAGCTCTGATGTGTGCAGACTCCCTGTAATTATGGTATAATTGGATTTAACTATAGGGGTAGAACTAGTTTTCAACCAAGTCCCCTCAAATAATTTGTTGCTTATTAGAAAAAAAGAGAACTTCTGCTGGCTTTAGTGGAGTGTATGTTTGCCCCCCTCCACCTCACTCCATAAGAGAGAAGAGAATTGCTGGTGTGAGCTCTAGCAATTTAGTGGGGTTGGTTTAATCACAGTGCCCTAGCTCTGAATATTCCAGAAAGTTCATTTTCTCTAAAAAGGAAATCCAGAGAGAAGGTGGTACAGAGTCCCAAAGTGAAATGTCTCGGTCTCTCCCATTCCTATGGTTAGGAGATTATTCTGAGTGTCCAGAGTTTGCAAACTGTGTGCTTGAATCTGGGCATGGGCTTATACTATTTGGCCTGCATGATGTTTAGAGTTTTTGTGACTTAGGTGCCACAGATAAGAACTGGGAGATTTCACATAAAAATCTGGATTTCAGCCTCCCTTCAAAAACGAAAAAGGAAAAAAAAATCTGGCCATCCAGGGCCTGAATTCCTTCATTACTACACTTGCTGGACTTGAATCTCTGTGATACTTTAGAGGGGGCAACTAATTCACAATTTACTTTCCAGTGCTCATCACTCGTTTACTGAAACTTCTTGACTCTGCTGGCATTTGAATTTGTATCTTTGTCTCTCTCTCTCTCTCTCTCTCAATCCCCACCCCGCCCCCGCTCCACCTCTCAGCAATATGAACTCATTTTTTATTGAAGGCAGGGTGATGTAGCACAAAAAGTTAGTCCTTTTGTGTTGAAGAAACATATTTAAACCCTGGCTCCATTGTCCACCAGCTGTGTGACTTTGGATGAGCAACTTAACGTTTTAGATCACTGTCTCCACATCTGGGGCTTACATGATACCATGACATAGGCTGGTGTGAGCCCTGGCATGGTCTGTGGCACATAGTGAATGTCCATTAATGGTTAGTTTCCCATGCTCTTATTCTGCCTTAAATGGAAGCAGACAAATGTTATTAATATCAGTCAGTGTTGTAGACCCCTTACATGGAAAGGCACCTGAGGAGTTTGTTTTATCTACTTTTCTACCTTCAATTTAACTCTCCCACATAGGAGAAATGCGGAGATGTGAATTGACTTGCTCAAGGTCACTCAGTGAATAACAAATAAACCCAGGTGTCCTGGGCTTTCATCCCAGTGCTCATCTCACTCACAACAGCCTGCCAGATCCACACAGACTGTTCCCAGCAGAGTTGAAGATGGAGTGAGCGTGGGATTTCTGTTGCTTAGGGCTTGACAAAAAGGCTGCAGACAATGAGTGGTTTGAATGTCTGAAAAGAAGTATCAGGGAGTGACCTGAATTAATAACACAATTGTTGCAAGATATATCCAAGATGTTAAAAAGCTCTGCCTTGCCATTTCACTCTTTAATGAGGCAGTTTGGACAGGCTTCCCTTCAATATGCCTTGCCTTCCTTTTTGAGGTGACGATGCAATATAAGTGTGCCATCTAGGTCAGGGCCATCATCATCTCTGGCTGATGCATTAAAATAAACTGAAATAAAATGAAACAGCTGGTCAAGGCTAATTTCCTTCCCACCACCAAGATCCTTTATAGGCAATGTGGTCATCAGTTGCACGTCTTCACTTGCAAATGTTTCAAGGGATGTGATGAAGTGGAGGCCAGCCAGGGTATTGGACAATAATTCCATCTTCTCATAAGGTAATTCAAACTTCCTGTGGCCTGGGAATTAGGAGGCCTGGATTCTAGTCCATGCCTACTACCAAGGATCTGTGTGACCCTGGACAAGTCGCTTCACATCTGTGGATCTTGGTTTCCTTGTTTGTCAAGTGGCAGGGCTGGAGAAGACAGACTCTAAGGCTCCTGTCAGCTCTAACAGTCTCAGATGATTCTGAATGTAGAACTTTAGCTCCTCAAGTGGTTGTAGACTTTGGGAAGGACCGAAGTCAGGTTGCTGAAGGACAGAGGAAAATATATAATCTTGAGGTGGGTCAGATTGAAGCCGGGGTCAAGGAACAGGCCCCATAACATGTTGTCCACAACCCCTGGGAATTTTAATGACCTTGAAGAATGCCAGGCTGCTGAGTTGATTTGACTTAGAACAGTGTAGGGTCAAATGATGGTTCCAGGGAGGTGAGTGATGGGGTGGTGAGGCAGGAAGTAGAGAGTTTGGCAATTCCATTCTTAGGTTTTAGGCTGAGCAGAGCATCCTTGGTTGGTGGGTTTCACTCAGACTTACCTACCTCAGAAATATAGATGTGGGAAGACTGTGAGTCAGAGATGAAAGCTCAACAAGACTCATTTTTGCTCTTTAGTTGGGGTCAAACTAGAGAGAGGAATGTGAAGAAGAGATGTGGCGATGGATTTCTCCTTCTTAATTGACTGAGTGGTTTCCAACAAAGCATTCATCCTCTCTGAATCTCTGAGGTTGGTGTCTTTCCTGGGGCTGATCTTATTCTATTCTCTGGGTATATTCAAGTTTTTGGATGAAGAAGCTTTAGCCAGAGCCAGAAAATGAATGGATATTAATTTTTTGACATGTAATCTTGACCTTGGCTCACGACCACCATGAAGTGGAGCTCAGTGCTGCTCCTGTTGCTAATATCCTAGCAGGATTCTTGGAGTTGCCTGATAGTTCAGGAAATTAGAAGGGCCCTGTGGAAATGCAGAGACAGTTTGGAATTGGGCTGGGCTTGATTGGATCAGTCATGGTTCTGCAAGGAGGAGTCTGATCCCCAGCCAGTCATGCTCTCACTTGACTCCTGAAGATTGAATTCACGTTGCACCCTCTAGATGCTAATGACAGCACACTGGTTCCTCTGACCATGTGGACAGCCATCCCTGGCTTATTTCTTTCCTTCTGTCTTGCTCTACCCATCCTCTATGCTGCTGTGTGGCCTTCTTCATGTTTTCTTCCCCAGATGTCTCAGTCAAAGGTGGTCTTTTTTTTTTGCTATGACCTGTGTCTGTTACATTTGAAGCCCTCAGTTTAGCTTTTAATTATATGCTGTTTTGCAGTGTCCACTAATTGTTTCACATATATTAGTAACCTTTTCACAGTCTATCCAGATTGTAGAGTCCTTGGGTCAGGGGACCATGTCTTCTGTTTTCCTTAAATTGCTCTTGGCCCAATCTTGCTGGCCTCACAATCAGACTGCCTGATCTTTCATGGTCACAGGCTTTGTACTAGATATCCCCTTCACTGGGATTTTCCCCTGCCTCCACACACTTCCCCCAGCTCCTGCTTTGCTCCTGCTGGTGACAAATCCTCCTGTACAGCTGGGGCCCTGCAGCTGCCCCAGCATGCCGGCTGCAAATCAGCTTGAAGTAAACTGTCTGGAAGTACCCTGATGAGTCAATTGGGCCCCTCCTTGGAGACAAGGAATTCTGAGGTCTTGCAAGCACACACCTGCCCTCTGTGGAATAATTCCACAGCTGGCCCCAGTCCTGCCTCTGGGAACGTGTCTTACTTTTGCCTTGCTTCAGTAAGCTTATTCCCTCCTCCACTGGCTGCCCTGACTTGTCAGGTGGGGATGGCAGGGCAGTTGTGAAGAGCCAGCCCTCAGTAGGGAGAGGCAGGGCATCCACCTGCTGAGGACTGAGGTGTTGCTGGATTCTGGTGGGTTTACTTTGGTAAGCTTAAGGGAAAGAGGAGAAACCACGGAATTATGACATTTGAAATTTTCCCCCACAGAGAGCAAGAGTAGAGTGGGGAAAAGAGCCCAGGATTCTGATTTGGCTTGGCCACCAATTGGCTGTGTCACCTCATGTGACTCACCTGCCTTCTCTTATTCTTAAGCTCCTCTTCTGTAAAATGAGGCTGTTATATTAAAGTGGTAGCTTTCAAACTTATAAAAATAAAGGAACCCATTTATCAAATGAAATTTTATAAGGAATTCCATTTTCTAGAAAGAGAAAACAGCAATTCTGCTTAAAGTAAAGGTACAGGGGGACCCTTGGTTTCCTCCTTGTCTTTCAAGTGATCTCCTGAAATACCTTATCAGAACTTCCCAGGAAAACACAGTGTGAAAGGCACTGAGAAAGATGATCTCTATGGTCTCTCTAGCTTTGACAGTCTCCATCTTCTTGCTACTCAAAGTGTGGTCCTCAGCCAGCAGCAAGCATTTGGGAGCTTGTTAGGGATGCATCATATCAGACCCTACCTAAGACCCACTGAATCAGAATCAGCCTTTTCACAAGATCCCCAGGCAATTCATCCAAGTTTGAGAAGTACTGGTCTGTACAGTTCTGTGATCCAGAGAGCTAAGTGACAAGAAGACCACGGGAGCATCGTGACTTTCATCGTAGAATGTGGGCATGGTCAGTTGGTGTAGGAAGTGTGGACCACATCTCTTTCTTGCCTCGGTGCACTAGTTGTATCCCTGATGGGGAACCAGTCATGGTAAACAGGTTGGATTGTTCTTGGGCTTAGCCAGAGAGGGAAAAAGAGGGGAAATCACCTGACCCTGCAGAATGCATGTTAGTAAATGCTGGTGACACAGCATGTGACAGGGGGATTTGTGTTTCCAGCAGGAAAATGCTCACTACAGGTGCCTTATTAGCATGACTCTTCTAGGCATTTGTGCTTCCTAACGTATGTCTCCTCCCTCATCTCGCCGGATCCCTATTCTCTCTTCAGCACCTGGGATATGACAGCTGGCTTGGACTTAAAGACCTATATTTTGGTCCTAGCTCTGGAGGTTTCTAACATTGCTCTCTTGGGTTTCTCCACCTCTGCGGGCCTCAGTTTTTCTATGTGTAACACAGCATGGTAAACCCCACAGTGTGGTGGTGAGGAGGAACTGAAATATATGGAAGCTCTTTGTAAACTGTAAAGTGATAAAAACTCAAGGATACTTTTATATCAATTCTAATCTGTAAAAATACCCAGAGTTTAGCTTCAGCTGGGCTTACTAACAGTGCTAACCCCAAGATCTCAAATGCCCCTGTGAGGCTAACAGCTGGTTTCTTGTGTTAGCCTAAGCTTGTCCCCGGGGTCTGGATTCCTTCAAGGTTGGTGGCCCAGTTGGTGGTTCTTAAAGATCCCTCATCAGAACTTGATTATTGTAGGAAATTGGAAGGAAAGGGGAAAAGAAAAGAAGAATAGTTTTGCTGCTGTTTTGTCTCTGTACTTAGAAAATGCTAGCACACCCTTCCTAGTTTGACTTTTCTATTTGGCCAGAAGTTGGAATGAAATGGGTCTTGAGTCAACTGTGAAGATGAGCTTGCTATTTTTCTCTTTCATTAGTTAATGTTCTAAGTGGCCATTTCTGGGAAAACTCTTTCTGGTAATCTAAAAGTGTGTTTGTGCTGTGGGTGGAGATGTTTTGGGAAAATGTGTACATTTCTGATGCTTTTCTCTTGATAGAAGAATTTGAGTGTCATTGAAGAATAAGACCTTTAGGGTTCTGATTTCTCATTTCTTCTGTCCTTTTTGAAAACCTGAAATATTCCTCAGCCAAGAACAAATAAATTTTAGCCCCAAAATGTGGGCTTGATTTGCCATCTAAATGTCTGGGATTGAAGTAGGTTCATGTACTTGACAGGCAGCCTCAGCCCCACCCTGTTTGGTTGCACACTGTAACACCCCACCCGTTTTCCTTCTCTTTGCTCAGCCCAGCCCCTGCTATTTTATTCTACCTCCCTTGTTAATAACCTTTTTAAAGAAAGTACCTGCAGAGGATCTATGCCCTTGGAAAAAAATGTTCCCTTGAGGAACTCAGTGCTGGACTCAGGGAGAAGCACTTTGCTTATGGTGATGCTGCCACATGGACTCTCCATGTGGACTGAGACAGATCTAAAAAGCGTTAGGAAGGCCGGGCGCAGTGGCTCATGCCTGTAATCCCAGCACTTTGGGAGGCTGAGGCGGGGGGATCACTTCAGGTCAGGAGTTTGAGACCAGCCTGGCCAACATGGTGAAACCCCGTCTCTACTAAAAACACAAAAATTAGCCAGGCATGGTAGCTGCTGCCTGTAATCCTGGCTACTTGGGAGGCTGAGGCTGGAGAATCGCTTGAACCTGGAAGGCAGAGGTTGCAGTGAGCTGAGATCATGCCATTGCACTCCAGCCTGGGCAACAAGAGCGGAACTCTGTCTCAAAAAAAAAAAAAAAGAAAAAAAAAGTGTTAGGAAGGTATGAATGCTGTTGGAGTAGAACAGGTCAACTTCCCTTGAAAAATAATTTTTAGAAGCATTGAATCTGCTGCTAAATTTCACCCTGTGAAATCATCCTGGGAAAGGTTTGGCAATGCGATTCAGGTGAGTCTAGGGAGCTTTTCTTTTTAAGCCTTCTTTACCATGTGCTGGGCAAAGGTCCCTCTTTGAAAGGTCATGCCATCGTTGGCCAGGCCTGGCAGGGTGGAAAGGGTGGCTCTGTGCAACTGGATCTGCACAGGGCTCCGTCTGCCTGCTACTGGAAGATACTGGCTCTCTGGGCCAAGCAAAGCTGCCTTTAGTAAATTAATGAGATTTTCCCACTAATTCAGCATCTTTCTTAGGAATCCATACTAGTGATCAATTCCAAGTACTGTGGGATTTTCATTTGCATCTTGTTCTCCCTTTAGGGGCAGAAAAGATACACATAACTTTGCCAACCCTTCCTTCCTTTCCCATTAGCAAACTGCCTGAATTCAGTTCTTCCCAAATTCATATCTTTAGCTCAGATCCTTGTCCTAAGCACAAGATCCATTTCTCCAGCTTCCTTGTCCACATCTCCACTTGGATATTTCAAGTGGAGTTCAACCTCAACCTGCCTAAAATGGAATTCATTATATTTTCTCCCAAACTTGCTGTCTCACACCCTCCTGTGTTCATTTCCTCTGCAAATGACATCATCTTTTACTCAGTGGATCAAACCAGAAATTTAGGAGTCAACCTTGATTTTTCTCTTCCTCCTTACCCTCCATATTGCTATTTGTCACCCAAATTTGTCAGTTCTACCACGTTAACATTGCCTTGAATCTAACCATTTCTGCCCATTCCCATTACTGCTACCTTGGTGTAAACCATGGATATCAATCACCTGGATTAGAATCAAAGACTTTTACTGGTTTCCCTTCTCTTCCTCCAAGTTTCAAGTATAAAAAGTGACACAATAGATGCTGAATAAATGTTTGCTAAATTAAGAAATGAAGAAAGGAAGGAAAGAAGAATGAAGCTGTTAGCAACTCTATTGCCTCCTGAAAGGGTCAGAAAAGACAGAGGAGAGAGATGAGAAACTCTTCAGATATTCAGACTTCTGGAGGAGATGTTTCACAACATCCTTTTGTTGCAGGATGCACTGCCAGTAACTTCATTATCTAACCTGGATCCCAGCAGCTACAGTAGGAACCTGTATTTGTTGGCTCTGTCCTGAAGGAAGAGTAGCTAGTCCCATTTCTTCTGTAAATGGCAAAAGAAGCTATGAAAATTACACAGCCTTTGTCCAAAGCCTGGTCCCAATCCAGACTGAAGACCTGGATCCATTTGCTGGGAAGCAGCTGCCCCAGGGCTGGCTTTCTATGCCAGATAATTAGCAGAAAAACAAAAATGAATTTGAGGTTTGGGCTGAACTTCCAATTGCTTCAAGTAGTTACATAGATTTCAGTTTCTCACATACTCTGCTCCTTCACTTTCTTTTGGTGTAGCCCCCAAATCCTTTGCCGTTTTTTTTTTCTTTTTTTCCAAAGGCCAGTGAGAAAGGAAATAAATAGCAATAAGAGAGGCCACGCATCTTAAAGCCCCACCCATTGCAGTTTGAATTCCTTCCCTTTTTGTCTCCTCACCAGGGCATGACATAACATGTTTTGCTGATGCTAGATCCTAGAACTGTTGGAAAGGGAAAAGAAGCCTGACAGAACTCATTGTTGTAAAATTATTCCTTCCCCATTTCTCACTCTCCTACCAAGAAAAAAAAATAAAGAGGCATCTTCAGTTTCACAACCCTTTTCTGTCTGTCTGGACTTGCTCAGAAAGCCTTGAGAGAGGCCAGATATTTTTGGTGGGAAGTAGGGGGTGGCCTTCCGCTCTGCTAAGAAAACATTTTCTGAGCATGTTGTCTGTAAAGAACCCTGTATTGCATTTGAGTAGTCATGCCCATTTCTGCTGAGGGGAAGCAAGCTGGTCGTCATTCTGGCTCTCCTTGGGTGGTGGTAGTGTCGGTGGTGCCAGTGGCAGTTGTAGGGGTGATGGAAGGGGCTGGTGTGTGTGCTACTAGAGTGGGGACAGGGAGATATTGCAAAGAGGAAGGATAAAAAATAAGCCTCCTTGGAAAGCACAATGTTGATGGACTAAATTATTTGCTCTGAGAGAAGGCAAATACACAGTTCTGCGCAGAAAGATAATTCTCTTGGATTTGGGGAAATTCTTTTGATCTGCAGAAGAATTTCAAGTTACAGTAGAGAATAAGAAACTGGTTAGCCTTTCACTTTTTTAAAACAAAGGAAAAATACATAGCTTTAGCAGCTTGCTTTTCTTTATTGTGATGCTGTAATAAGAATTTGTCAACATTTTAAAATTCATCTAGGCTCTTCATTCAGTTGACTTAAATGATTAATTGTGTACCAGTTTTTCTTAATGTCTAGATTTGTAATTAGTTACTCCTGCTAATTTTGAAAAATTGGATTAAAATGTTGCATGTCTGCTGTAATTGAACAGACCACCTCTATTTCATCTAGAAAATGACTTCCAATAATGTAATACATTATTGACTAAAACTTAACATAAAGTTATTAATGATTGAAAACTTCAAAGCATCTGTCTGCAAACAAGGATAGATCCAGAAATTCAGAGCTGAAGGGGACATTAGAGATCATACCAGTGGGTCTCAGCCAGGGACATTTGGATATGTATATGGTTGTTTGGGATTTTCACAGTGACAGTGACCAAGGGACACAATTGCATTTAATGTCCCAAAATCATGGATGCTAAGCAATCTACGGAATGTGATATAGTTCCACATAGCAGAGAACTTCCCTTTCAAAGTGGCAGTATTGCCTCAGTTAGGAAGATTGAATTCAGTTCTTCATTTGAGATATGAGGATACTGAGCCCTGATATTCCCTGGGTCAATAAAGTGGCAACGAGTGGGGCTGATGTCCATGTCTATCTGTTTCAGGGAAGAGGTCCTGATGCAGACCCCAAAATAGGGTTCTTGGATCTTGTGCAAGAAAGAATTCAGAGCCAGTCCATAGAGTAAAGTGAAAGCAAGTTTATTAGGACAGTAAAGGAATAAAAGAATGGCTACTCCATAGACAGAGCAGTCCCAAGGGCTGCTGGTTGCCCGTTTTTATGGTTATTTCTTGATTATATGCTAAACAAGGGGTGGATTATTCATGCCTCCCTCTTTTAGACCATATAGGGTAACTTCCTGATGTTGCCATGGCATTTGTAAATTGTCATGGCGCTGGTGGGAGTGTAGCAGTGAGGACAACAGAGGTCACACTCATGGCCATCTTAGTTTTGGTGGATTTTAGCTGGCTTCTTTACTGCAACCTGTTTTATCAGCAAGGTCTTTATGACCTGTATCTTGTGTGGACCTCCTGTCTCATCCTATGACTCAGAATGCCTTAACCATCTAGGAATGCAGCCCAGTAGGTCTCAGCCTTATTTTATCCAGCTCTTATTCAAGATGGAGTTGCTCTGGTTCACATACCTCTGACATACCTTTGATGTGATTCAGTTTCTTGGGTTTCCTTAAGCCAATGTTAACAGTAGTTGCACAACTAGAGTAAACAGAACTTCTCCATTATATAGTGGAAGAAGCAACAAAAACCTGGTGTCAGTTTTGGTGCCGGGGTATCTGTCATCTCCTTCGTTTCTACTGTGGATCACAAATCTTCTCTCAACCAAAAAAATGACTTAAATATACAAGAAAAACAATGAAAATGATCAAGAATGGATGGGCCAACTCTTTGAGGAAATTGTCAAGTTAACAAATAAATGAGAGAAGATGAAAGCCCAGTGGAAGTTGAAGTTCAATCTCTTTCAAGAATAGGGAAGCCAGGCGTGGTGGCTTACTCCTGTAATCCCAGCACTTTGGGAGGTGAGGCGGGCAAATCACCTGAGGTCAGGAGTTCAAGACCAGCCTGGCCAACATGATGAAACCCTGTCTCTACTAAAAATACAAAAATTAGCCAGGGGTTGTGGCACATGCCTGTAATCCCAGCTACTTGGGAGGCTGAAGCAGGAGAATTGCTTGAGCCCAGGAGGCGGAGGTTGCAGGGAGCCGAGATTGGGCGACTGCACGCCAGCCTGGGTGACAGAGTGAGACTCCGTCTCAAAAAAAAAGAAGAAGAAGAATAGGGAAGTCAAATTAGAGAGGTTAGAATCTATAAGTTAAGGGTGGGTGGAGAGATATTATTATGTAGTCATTTTGAATCAGATCACAGTCTTCATGTCCAGGTGGCTGGATCTCATATAATAAAGACATTTTTAGATGAAATCTCAAAACTCTTGTTTTCCACATCACAAAGATGAAAAATTTCCCAGAATACTAGAAATAGAAAAATATTCTTCTAATTTTCAAAAAGAGGGAAAAAGGAGTTTTGGAAGCCACCTCTAACAAAACTTGGCCTTGGATCTGATAGAATTCTTCAACAGTATATTAAACTCATGCTTTATGCATGCTTAGAAAAGAATGAGGTGATCTCTAGCAACCAGTACGGATACTGCTACCATAAACTGACCCATTATGAACTGACTACACTGGCAAATCTGTGAAGGTCCATAAACCTAGAATATCTCTATTTCCATAACATGTTTGACATGGTGTTCTATGATATCCTAGTGGATAAGACTACGATAGCTGAATTAGGCACTGTTGAAGTTAAGTGCATTTCCAGTTGGTTGAATTTAGGTATTTAAAGAGTGTTGATAATCTGGAAGGAGAGGCTGGTAAGGTTTACTTTTGCTATAACTATGTGATCTTTAATATATAAATCAATAATTTGAAGGAACACAGTAACAAATAGATTTCCAATTTTTTGTATGACATAGAGTGATGGAGAAAACATTAAAAGTAATCTCTATACACTAGAAGTCTGGATCAGATTCAAGAAGATGAGACTTAACACATATAAATGTTAATCTACTGCACCAATGCTCAAAAAAATCAACTGTGCAATGACAGAATAGGGAAAGCTAGTTTTGCAGATGCTAATATTGAAAAGGCAAGGGCTTTTTACGTAAAGGACTCTTTATTGGACCATAACCAAAAGATGAAACAATAGTGACATGTGGTTTTCCTAAAAGCAAATATGATCTAAGATGTGTCCAGAGAATCATGTTAGGTTGGTGAAGGGCTTGGAAAATATGTTACATGAGGAATGATTGAACGACTAAAAGAACTTGTCGTATCTGGGCTATAAAAGAGATGACTAAAATGTCAAGGTTGTCTTCCAATATTTGAGGTTTCCTGTAAGGAAAATGGAGAGGGTTTGCCTTGCAAGAAGTTAAGGTAGTAGAATGAAGACCAACCGGCAGAAGTTACAAGGAGGCAAATTTTAATTGAGTATAAGGAAAAACTAACTAGCAGTCAAGAAGAAATGGGCTTACATGCCTATTTATAGCAGCATTATTCACAATAGCCAAAAGGTCATAGCAACCCAACCATCCATCCACAAATGAGTGGATGAGCAAAATGTGTTACATACATGCAATGAAATATTATTAGGCCTTCAAAAGGAAGGAAATTCTGACACATACTACAATGCAGATGAACCTTGAAAATATTGTGCTAAGTAAAATAAGCCAGTCACAAAAGGACAAGTATCATAATGATTCCACTTACATGCGTGCTAGAGTAGTCAAATTCATAGAGACAGAAAGGAGAATGGTGGTTGCCAGGGACTTGGGGAGAGGACAATGGGAAGCTGTTATTTAATGGGTATAGAGTTTCAGGTTGGGAAGATGAAAAGCTCTAGAGATGGATGGTAGCACAGTAATGTGAACGAACTTACTGCCACTGAACTGTACACTTAAAAATGGCTAAAATGGTAAATTTTATATATATTTTACCACAGTTGAAAAACAAATTGGGGGCTCCATTGCCTATGGAATAAACCAAACAAAGAAGAAGGAATGGGCTTATGTGCGAGGTATTGAGTTTCCTGTAACTGTAAGTATCAAAATCGGGACTGGACAGTCTCAGGGTGACATGCTCTAGGGAACATTTCAGGGTGAGAAGCAATCCCAATGATTTCAGAACGTCTGTAACTCCACATGAAAACAGAGGCTTACTCTGTGCCTCAGATTGAGTAAGGCTGCATACTTTCTTGATATGTATTAACATATGCAAGAGTATATTCATATATAATATATCATACATGCAAAAGACCATGTTATATAACAAATATGCATTTTACTATGTACAATTTAATAAATATTTTAAAAATGGATCTCCTTCTAGTCCCCATACAGGTTTAATACTGAGAATTTGCCAGTATCTTAGAAGTCCCCAACCCTTTCAGATGCCCTTAACCCATCACTTCCATTCCCTCCTCTTGGAGATGACCACTCTTCAGACTTTTGTGATGATCTGTTTTTTTTTTTTTTTTTTTTTTTTTTACAAAATAGCTTTACTACCTATTATGCATCTCTAAACAGCATAGTATAGTTTTGTCTGTTTTCAATGTCATGTATATCATATGGTATGTTTTCATTTGTGACTTTCTTCTGTAGCTTATTATGCTTATAAGATTCATCCATGTTGATACATGCATGCAGCTGTAATTAATTTATTTTCAATAGATCATTTGTCAAAAGTTTGTAATAGATGCTGCTGCTAGGAACATTCATATGCGTGACTTCTGGTGCTCATGCATAAGGTTGGGAATTCTGGATTGTATGATATACACATCTCTGAATTTCTGAGATAATGCCAAACTATTTTCCTAATGATTCTATCAATTTTCATTGCCTCCAGCAGTGTAGGAGAGTTCTTATTGCTCTGCCTGTTGTCAGATTCGGACTGCACTCTTCACCTAAGAATTAGAGAAAGTGGTGAGGTTGGTAGCCTGGCTCAAATACCTCATGATAAAGTGGGAAAATGGACTTGAGCTGCACACCAAGAAAAATTTAGGTTCCAAATCAATGTAGGTGCTTCTATTGAGTTAAGTGGCTTGTCAGAGACAGGCTTCCAATTATATCCTAAGCACGTGAAGGGCGTGAAGTGCCACATGTCCTTTGGTGAACTGCCCCCAACCCCACTTTTTCCCTCAGCCTTAGGTTTATAGTGCCTGCTCACCAAACACTGACTACATTGTGTCATCAGTGCGGTGGTTTTGTGAACATTTCAAACATAAAAAAAAAAAAATGAAAGTGAGACATCATTTCCTGAATTATGTTAATTTGGTGAGCCTTAGTGAGTGGAATTAAAATGAACATCCCTTGAGAGGATGTTATGGACCACACAGAGCTCTGGGCTCTGGAGTTGAAAATCTTAACTGGAATTCCAGCCAGGCTACTTTTCAGCTATTTCACTGTAAGCAAGTTGTTTGATCTGCCTAACTTTACTTGTCTCGCTTGTAAAACGGGTAGAGTAATGGGACCTACTATGAGTGTGCTTGCTGGGGAGAGGGAATTTTGAAGGTAAGATAATTCATGTAAAGTGCTAAGCTCAGTCCTTGGTGTTTAGTGTTCAAAAAATATTTGACATATTATTAGAATCTCTGTCCCTGAAGAAACACTTTTACAATGGCTTCCAGGATAACATAAGCATGGATTTGCCTAAGGAGACGGGGCAGGAGTTGATCTCTTCAGAATTTTGTTCCCGTCATCATTCCCTTCCACACACATGCCTTTGGTAATTTTCAGCAGCAAACATTTAGAATAAGCTCTGGTTTTACCCTTCATCAAACCAGAAGTGACAGGGAAAACAGACATTTTTTTCAGAAAAGAAATTAATCTCCTAAACAGGGTGATTCCACCCTTTTCTTTAAATACTTCTAAACTCAGGAGGGGGGAGGAGAGCACACATTATCCATCAGAATGAGGCATCAGCTAGCACCGCCGAGTTTCATTTACTTTAAGATTGCCCTCTGAGCTGTAGGGTTTTTTTTCTTCTTTCCCAGAGCACAGTTAGAAGGGATATTTTTCTTTAAATGGCCCCATTTCATTTGCATTTTTAAGCTTTCACTGCAGAGAGTAGAAGCAGTTGTAAATGGTTCCAAGAAGGTAGCTGTGGCTGCTAGCCTGAAGCTTCTGAAATTGAGTGTCAGCTTCCCTCAGAGTAGAAAGATATTACTTCATATTTGTGCATGCGGTTTGCCGCTCTGCTCTTGGTTTGATGGTCTCATTTAGCCACAGGCATTCTCCAGCAATGATTCGTCCTCCCCAATAAATTAAATATCACCTTTCTCCCCTCTCCCACTACCACTCCACCCTCTTTTTTTTAAATAAGACATTGTCTTGTTTATACTGAAGTGAGACAAGGTAAGAAAGTATGAGTTTCCCAATTCCTTTTATTGCTCCTTTTTGACAAGAGGAGAACAGCAAAAAGGCAAAAGAGGAAGAAAATCTACAATTGGAAATCTGAAAGGAAAGTTGTATCCTGATCACAGACCTCTTTGAGTTTGTTTAAGATTGTATAGCAAGCTATTGAGAGGGGAAGGGTATAGAGAGCCTATGGGATGTTTCACTATGTTGTAGAATGAGGGGACCCACTGATCAGCATTATCGCCCTGTTCATTCTTGAGTTCACACCCTTTACCCCAATAATCCCCTACTTAGGGGCTCAGGTCTGCAGTGAAAACCACAGGTGCACCATGTCCACAGGGTCTTGACATCTCCCAAAGGACTGCAGGAGGAGCCTGGGCTGATTCCAGGGAGGCGTGGGCAGGAAGCTGTTTGTAAGATGAACAAAGAGAGTCTTTGACGAATGGGTCATTATTGTCAGAAGGTGGAAGTCAGGGTGCCTTGATTGATAGTGTTCCTGAACAAAACAAGCTGAAACTTTTATATGCTTTCAGAAATTTGGTTTTAGTATATAGGCAGCCTTCACCCTACTGATGAGCTGTGTGCTGGAGTTTACAAGTTGGGTTTTTAGAATCTGGAACACAATTTACTTCAAATTAGCCCTTTAATATGGTGATCAGCTTTTTCAGCCTATACACAACAGTCCATTTAATACATACTAGTTTGTTGGAAATGTATTGCTAAGAGTTTTAGATTGATGGAGTTGGAATCTATGTGGTGAGGGAGGAGAAGGTAGAGAGTTTCTACTCCTTTCTCCTGCACCTTGAGCCAAATTAGGGGGAAATTTTGAAATAGACATAGCATGTTTTTGGCATCTTCCCTTTCTGCTCCTCTCTCCCCTTGTTGTCAGCGAATTGTGTGGCCCGCAAGGTGACTAAATTCATTGTTGTAAGAATGCTATAAAAAGGGCTCTTGCTTGGGATAACCAGTGTCGAATCTGACTGAGATTCCTCCTATTGATCTTCTGTGACTCACGGACAGAGCAGAGGAAGAGGATTTGAAATTTAGCCTGACTCACTTCCCGGTGACCTGGTATTAAGGTGATTCTTAGGTATGCCTGAGCTGTCCTGGAAAGGTCTCTGTGCCAAGGCAATTTGGGTGCCCAGGGTCCAGGTCAGTGACTCCAACCCAACCACCAGGTTGCTCCCAAGAGTAATTAGCTTGACATTTTTGAGACTTCTCATTAGACGCTTACACCTGAAATGTTTCCCCAGGTGATTTCCGATCCTGTGCCATCACCCTGTGCTTCCCCTTGCCTGGCCCAGCTCCTACCAACAGTTTTATGTCTGTCCTCTGGAATGTCCATGGTGAATAAACTCATTCGTAGCCTCAGACTCTTCCTTGACCACTTCACTCCCTCTGCCTTTTCATCTGCACCTGCCTCTCCCTCGAGTGTTCTGTGTTCTCTGTAGCCTTCTCAAGGGGAGACTGCTAATTCTGCTGCATCTCAGCATCAGCCGCTGGCGTTGGCACCATCCCTGCTCCCCATCTTCACTCCCCAAATGATTCAAGTGAAAGTCTTGGCCGCTTTTAGGCTCAAGCTCACTGGCATTGCCAGTGCTCTCCAAAGTGTCTCCAGTGTACTGTGACAAGGGCAGGTCTGCCTCTTAAATGAGTGACACAAGCCCTAGGGGGTTCAGTGGTGAGCTGGAGACCCCATGATGCTCAAAAAGGGCACAGTTGCTCCGCAGTTCACAGTTGAAGGAGATAAACCCTGTGTTCCCAGATCTTTTTTTTTTTTTTTTTTTTTTTTGAGACGGATTCTCACTCTGTCGCCCAGGCTGGAATGCAATGGCGTGATCTCGGCTCACTGCAACCTCCACCTCCCAGGTTCAAGCGATTCTCCTGCCTCAGCCTCCCGAGTAGCTGGGATTACAGGCATGCGCCACCATACCTGCCTAATTTTTTGCATTTTTAGTAGAGACAGAGTTTCTCCATGTTGGTCAGGCTGGTCTCGAACTCCCAACCTTAGGTGATCCTCCCGCCTTGGCCTCCCAAAGTGCTGGGATTACAGGCCTGAGCCACTGTGCCCGGCCTTTTCCCAGATCTTTATAGTTTCTAAGAGAAGGCTTTCAAGGAATCTAGATTTTTATATGAACTTTCCTGATTTTTTTTAAAAATGGTAGATAGTAAACCATCATCAAAAAAAAAAATAAGAAAAAACACCATGACAGCCAAATGAAACCTGGCTATTGGGTCTGAGTTGGCCCACAGGCCTCTGATTAGTGATTTCCACTCTGCATTTCCTCTTCCTCATCTAACACTCTCTTAGTCATTCTCCCCATTCACTAATGACACCAGCATGTGTTACACAGTCTTTTCTTCCATCTGAACCCTGCTTTCATCCTGGGCTTCTTCTGGGCTCATGAAGATGCCCAGCAACACTCGACCCCCCCATTCCTGCATCTTCTCTTCTCAACACGTCCACCCCACCTGGACCTCATCATCCCCTAGGTCACCTCCCACACCACAACCTTCTATCTTTCTACTTCTTGTACTCAATCATTGACATTATTTCTATTTCAAAACTAGGGACTCCCAGACCACTGATCTCTCTCTCTCTCTCTCTCTCTCTCTCTCTTTTCAGTCATACCTTCTCATACCATACCCTCTCAGCTTCATTTTACTTCAACCTCTGTCTTGCTAATATTGTTGCCCTATTGGCTTTCTTTCATACTTGGATGGCAAAACCTCAACCCTGGAGCTAACAAACTATTAGCCTTCTCTGCCAGTGTTGCTGCATGTCATAGAGAAACCCACACGATCTGTAGACTCATTGTACTACTGTCTCCCATTTCCCAGACCCCACTGCTCCCTGCCACTCTCCTGTGATCATTCTAGGCTTCCTTAGTCACCGCTCTCTCTAGTTCTCTAGACTAGATTTTCAGTGCCTTCTTCACTCTCCTCCACTCCTCAAATATTTGGCCTTCACAAGTTAAGCATTTGACATTGCTTCCTACTTCACAGAAAGTGTAGAACCCAGAGATGGAAACATCCCACCCCTTAACTCAGTGCCATCAAACCTACAACTTACCTACATCTGCCACCATGCCTCTTTTCTTCACTTCTGATTTTATGGAAGAGGAGCCTCTCTCTGTCTGAGCTTATCCCTTTTTTTGTCCTCTGGAGTTTTTCTCTCCTACCTCCTTAGCAGCCTGGCTTGATCACTTTTCCCTTTCTCTTCCCTGTCCCTTCACCCTGTCCCTCTCTCTTTTCCCCTCTCTCTATCAGGACCTAAACATGTTTAAGCCTTCCGTCTTGTATATTCAATTCCTTGCTGGCCCCATGGCACTTTTCAGCCACCGCTTTCTCTTTAAAAAGGCATCTGTATCTGTCGCTCAGCTTCTTTACTTCCCATTCTGTATTCTACCCACTGCAAGCTGGCTTCTGCCCTTATTGTTCTGCTGAAACTGCTCTCAGCAAGGTTGTAGATGACTACTTTATTGCTGAATCCAATGGCAACTTTTAAGTCATTATCTTCCTTGACCTCTCTGCAGCGGCTGACACTGTTGGTCCTTTCCTGCATACTGAAAAACTCTTTTCCTGGGCTTCCATCACCACGTGCAGCAGCTGGATTTCCCCACCTCTTCAGACTCCTTCATGGGCTTCTCTTTCTTTGCTCACTTTTAAATACTAATGTTGGTTCGGTCCTACTGGTCTTATTTGTCCATGCTCAGGTCTTATTCATGTGCACGCCTGAGGTTATCTCAGTATTCTGTAACTTGTGTGGGGAGATTGAGATAGACCAGGAGGGGTAGGATGCAGATTTTATGATGGGGAACAGCAGAAATGAGATTGGCCAGGCATAGTGGTACCAGATGATGAAGAGACTGAGGAGTCAGCAAGGGAGAGTTTAATTTGCTGAAAGTGACAACAGGGGGACAAGCCTTGGGTCTAGGTTGTTAGTATCTAAGATGCTGAAGCCTTCCCTCCTTTTGTATAATGAAGCATTTGTCTGGCCTTTGTCCTGCGTTCCTGGGATGGAACTTCTAAACAAACCCTCTAACTTTCCCAGGTGATAAGACTGTCTGTTATTCATAGTGAGCCCTTGGGACCATGCCTGGGTTTATGTTAGTGAGGTGACTCACAGTGAGCCCCTACATAATTTCAGGATGGGGGCTGGTCATGCTTGAAAGGCCAATCGTGTGATTAGAGAGTTGGTGCTTTGAGCCATGTGATATTGGTCCAACCTCCGGGAGGGATTGGAAGATGGAGATTAACCACTTGGCCAATGATTCAATCAGTGATACCTACATCATGAAACCCCAGTGAAAACGCTGGACACCAAAGTGCAAATGACCTTTCTGATTGGTGAACACATCAATGTGATGGGAGGGTGAACCAACCTGAGTCCATGGGGGGGAAGGCATGGAAACTCCACATTCTGAACCCTCCCAGACCTTGCCCTGGGTATTTTTTTCACTTGACTGGCTCTGATTTGTACCTTTTATGGTAAAACTTTTATCCTAAGCGTAGCACTTGACTGAGTTCTGTGAGTCATTCTAGTGAATTATTGAATTTGAGGGGGCTGTGGAAACCCCCAAATTTGCAGCCAGAAGTGTAGGTGGTCTGAAGACCCTTGAACTTGTGGCTGGTGACTGAAGTGAGGCAGTCTTTTGGAGGCTGTGCCTTTCATCTGTGAAGTCTGCACTGACTCTGGGTGATTAGTGTCAGAATCACATTGCAGTACTGTGCCTCCCCAGGGGAAAGCATGTGGACTCAGTCAGGGAGCAAGTGCCGTAGATGAGACCTGGTTATAGAATGTAGAAAACCGAGAGTCACAGGAGATTGGAGACATAGCTGATTGTATTACTTAGAAATAGTTTTTCTAGGTTTTTGGGTAGCATGGCAGCAAGGAGTTTTTCTTTGTTTGTTTGTTTAAGGCAGAAATAGTGCTCAACTTTATGTCTGGTCATACTTTCCTTTCACAGTTTTTGTGCTTCTGGGTTCTTGATTTTGTCCCTTGAAAATTCTAGAATACTACATATATATATGTATATATATATATATGAATGCAGGAAATCCCTATATTTCCAGGCTAAAAAATATGACTTTTTCTTTTGTCCCTTAGAAAAGGCAGAGAGCAGCCCTTGGGGATAATAATGACGCCATTTCTGCTGTGGTTGCTTGTAGTTAAAATTGTGTCAGCCATTTTGACCCCTGATGAGATTTATGGTGGCTTAGATCTCTGTTGGAGAAATGAGTTTCAGGCAGCAGACAGGAGGGAAAAGGTCTCAGGCTTAGAGCATATTATTTTAGTGAAATGGGGAGAAAATTCACTTTTGCTTTTTTTTCTTCTTTTTTATTTTTTTAGCTGTAGAATCTGATTGTTCCCATTCTAGTATCTTTGTCTGCCCCTAATGTCACTGAGCTCCCTCACAGGGGACATTGGGTGGTTCCACATTTAACACTAGGAGCTCCCGTGAAGTGCTGACCTCCGACTGCATGACAGGTTTCTTGGCCAGCCCCTTCCAGACCCTTGCTTTGTTCCTCCTTCCAACCTTCTCAGATCAAAAGTATCTCTGTTTCACAGATGAGGAAACTGCAGCTTAGACAAACTGAGTCACATTGTCAGTGGCACCTGCTTAGAATGCCACAGTGATCGGAGCCGAGGCCTGCTCAACTCCCGACAGAGTGCCTCTTAGGGATGGGGTAAGCATTACATCTGGTGCTGGAGAAAAAAATGACAAAGACCCTGTTCTTATGCCTCCAAAAAGCTTACAGTGAGATCAGAGGGACTGACCTTTATCTTCTGATCAAGGTGCAAGTTTGGAGGAAGCGTCAGTAGAATGAAGACTCTAATTAAATACATGGCCTGTTGCTAAGTCAGGCTAAAAAGATCCCCAGAGTGGGTCCCCAGCAGCATCTTAGTTTAGAGACAGCTTGCCTCTATCTCTTGAACCTTTTGATCTTTGTATTGTAGCACCTAGCATGATGCTTTCCACATAGTGTGTATTCAATAAATCTTTCTAGAATAAGAGAGTGGATGCCTAAAACCTAGCTTTTGCATATTTGAATCCAAGCAAGCCATTTCTTGTCTCTGAGAGCAATAGTTACCCATGCGCAGAAGGGCAATTCTCAAGGAAATTTTGTTTTGGAAGGATTTGGCTCCCAAAATTTATTACTTAGTATTTAGCTCCGTTTTTACAAAATACCTAAGAGTTTTTCAAAGTCCAAATCGGCTGTTCATTTGTGTAACTAAGTGACACATCATTTTTTGTTTTAACCTCCTGAAAAACAGTAGTCAAGTAGGTGGGGCTTGCTTGAAAAAGGAATATGTGGACTCAGAGATTACATGCTTTTGTTATGTAAGAATTTGTAAGATTTACCAGGGTTTCTGGTAAATGCTGACACATGTTTGTTTGGCCCCAGGCTCTGTGAAAGCGCTAAGCTGCTTCCTGTCTGATGTTGCTGTCCTTTTTTGGCAAGGGAGCAAGACATAGTCAAGTCCTGCAGGGCTGGGGCAGGGCGGAGGCAGGTGAGTGCAGGGGAGGGTACCAGCACCCCACTCTCTTCACCCCATTTCCTTAGGTCATATCTGCACTTAGAAACTCTTTGAAAGCAAGTTGAAGTCTCTTGATTGCATGGTGAGTCAAAACTCTGAGGGTAGACCGTTGTGGGCATTCTCCTCTCTTTTCATTGCCACCCCCACACCCAAGATCACAGGACGGAGCTCAGATACAGGGTGCTGAATTATTGCCACTGAGTAACTGCAACATCTGCCACATGTGCCAGACACTCCATAGGGCAAGTTTGTCACTATAAACTTATTTAACCTCTGCTGGAACACTGTGAGGGAAGTATTGTTATCCCCAGGTTATAGACAGCAAAACTGAGACTCAGGGAAGTTGAGTGGCAATGTCCAGCTAGTAAGCATCTGGACTGCATAATCATCCCAGTCTCCTGACTTTCTGTTAGGGACTCATTCCACAACTGAGAATGTGATCTATTTGGGCTGGGGCAAAACAGCAGGACACTGACTGGAAGGGAAAAACAGCGGGACACTGACTGGGAGAGTGTCCCGCAAAACAGCAGGACACTCTCCTTGGAATGGACCCATGAGGCAGGAGGAGATGCATTGGTGCAAAGGTGTGAGGGTTTAGAGGTCTCTAGATAGGATGTGGAGGTGAGGAAAGGCCTGAGCTGACTCTGTGGTGCAAAGAGGTGGCAGCCAGGCCTGCTGGGTGCCGAGACTGCCTCATTCCATTCTGGGAGACTAAGTAGAGAAGCCTGGAGGCTTCTTCCCTTCCATTTGGAGTTTGGAGAAAACTCAGAGTAAACAGGCACATAAAACCCACCTGAACTTGTCATTATAAGCCCATAAAAGATTAAGAAACAGTTGAAGGATGGGGAAGAGAGAAATCAAGGGATTCTTGGTGTAGTCAGCTTGTTTACCACCGGCTCCTTATTTATTAGTGTCGTGTCTTCCATTTGTCAGGCTATAACGATAGTAGCTTTTATGAGTAAGCAATTTTTTAATGAACTTGTTTCAAATGCGTATTCCATTCTTGGAACTCTCTGTGCTCTGAAGCAGCTTTATAATTATTGCCTTCGGTGGAATAGCCAGGCTCTATCTGGCTTTTATGTAAGCAATTTCACTCGGTTTGCCTCTTCCTCTTTCAGCTTCAAATGAGTCAGATGAAGGGGTGGAAATATACAATAATAATAGCTTTTTAAAAGAGTGCTTATTATATGTTAGGCATTGTCCTAGATGTTATGCATTTATCTTTTTATTTTATCCTGACATTCCCCAGGACTGATGTATTTTACAGCCCCCATTTTACAGATGAGGAAACTGTGGCTCAGAGAAGTTGAATAGTGTCTAAAGTTCCTCAGTTAGTGAGTGGTGGGGACAGGATCTGAACACAGGTCTGTCTGGCCACACAGCCTGTACTCTGATACCTCTGCTGTATAGAGTGGACTGGAAGGGCTGTTCGTGCCAGTGTATTCCAGGTCAAACTGGGAGTGGGAAGAGGAGCTCAGGACACTCATTAGTGGTGTGAAGTCATTTGCCATGTTGGCCCATGCAAGAGATGCTGTAATTAAGTGCTGATGGCTCAGTAATTATAGATAATTTTCTGGTCTTTTGCTTTCATAAAGAGAAATAGGAAAGTTTAGAGAGCTCCCTAAACTTGTTGCTGCCCACAGTAATGCTACCTCCTGTCTCAGCCAGTGACTGTGCCATTTATCCAAAAGCTCAAAATTGTTTCATATGGTAAATTGGCCTCATCTTTGCGACATGGACTGTTACCATCCTATTCAAAACCCTGATTCCTTCCCAACTGGATTGAGGCTGCTTCTGAGTCCCTGCTTCCAGGACTGTCCCCTTTCTCTCCATCCTGCATGCTGTTCACAAGTACACAGGGCCAACATGCTCTTCTATCAGACCCATCTGCTACTGGAGCAATGCAGGCCACAGAGTGGCTGAGACCAGCTCTGGAGTCAGTTG